>NC_000006.12:99919274-100070790 GCF_000001405.40 Homo sapiens
TAGATACTATCCAGTTCTGAAATGGTGCCTAAAAATTCTAGAGTAAAATAAATAGGGTTAAAAATCACGTCTGGGTTGATTCAAATACAAGTTTATCCAAACACAATTGAAATATAAAAATGGAGATCAGATATAAAAATGGTTAACTCTTTTTCTAGAAGGGGCTGGTTGAAAATTGGTTTCAGATGTTTACGGAGAAAACAAATTTAATGTATTTAGATGAAGAAGGTGGGTTTACAGACTTTATCCACAAGCAAAAATAACAATATTTGTCTTAGTGTAGAACACAGGCATTAAATGCATTGTTTCCTTTCCTAACTATATATAAGTCTAAAGAGGAAAGATAGATATAATGAATACCTATGAAAATTTAAGGGCTAATTACTTTTTGTACCTTAGAACAAACATGTATACTGTAACCAAAAGGGAATGTTTCTTGTTTTTTTTTTTGTTTGTTTTGTTTTTTTTTTTGAGATGACGTCTCACTCTATTGCCCAAGCTGGAGTGCAGTGGCGTGATCTCGGCTCACTGTAACCTCCACCTCCTGGGTTCAAGCAATTCTCCTGCCTCAGCCTCCTGAGTAGCTGGGACTACAGGCACACACCACCATGCTCGGCTAATCTTTTTTTATTTTTAGTAGACAGGGTCTCACTATGTTGGCCAGACTGGTCTTGAACTTCTGACTTTGTGATCCACCTGCCTCCACCTCCCAAAGTGCTGGGATTACAGGCATGAGCCACTGCACCCGGCCAGGAATGTTTCCTAATTATGCTTAAAGTCCAGAAGTAAAGTATTATTATTAAAGTGCAGATGCCAGTTTCTACAGTTAGCAGGTGTGAGAACAAAGATAATCCAAAATGATGCTTAAAACATCAACTCATTTCTATCAGACTTTAGTTCTCCTCTTGTAGGGCTACAGGAGAAAGCAAAAGAAACTCCAAGTTACTGGGTTCTCCAGTATGATAAGTAAAGGTTGTCAAGGTCGTGCAGTAGAAAAGAAACAGGCAGAGCTGAATGTTAGCTCAGCTCTTAGATAGCTGTTGCAGCATTAGGCCTATCATTTCTCCTTTCTGAGCCTTAGCAAACAAAGGTAATAATACTTATTTCACAGGTTTGTTACATGTAATCTTACACATTGCATGTGTGCAATAAATGGTAACTTATTCTAAAAGGTGGGGCTTAGTTGTTGAGGGTATTAGTATTGGACCATATAAAACTGACATTTTTTATAGATAAAAAATAGCCAAATTTTAGACTTCACTCTAAGGTGATACCCTCCTAGGAACCTTGAGGAAACTGTTACAGTGAGGCCACAGTGTGGAGGGCAAGGTCAGGTTCCTTGGTGAGTTTTGAGTCAATGGTCATGGATGGCCATTTTCATTAGTGACTAGTTTATAATATGCTGAAATAATATACACCATCATGAAGCCTGGGTATCTCAGACTATCCCATTCCCTACCCACAATATAGATCAACATTTTACATCTTGCTAAAGTTAGCATATTAAGCTCATTGTATTTGCATGGTTACACTTCTCTTCCATGCTGCTAAGAGTCACAAGTACACAAGAAGAATGGGCATAAACATATCGGTACACCTGCCCTTTCTGATAATACCAGTAAGATAGACAATCATGTCTAGACTCATGGTGATCCATGTACTTTCCTAAAAGTGTGATTTCAGAGTGTTTCCCATATTGTTGATTTCCTTCTCAGTCGCTCTTCTTTGGATTTGAGGCAGACGTTTCTGGAAATTTCCACTCAGCAGGATGTAGAGAAAAGGGTTAATGCTGCTGCTGGCATAGCTGAGACAGATGGAGAGGTAATAACCCACATAGAAGGCCAGTGTGGGCTGTTCCATCTGTAAGTTCACCAGTTGTATCACATGATAAGGGGCAGCACTCAGGATAAAGACTACCACCAGCACCAGCACCATCTTTGTCAACTTCATCACTCTCTGTTTTGGTACACTGGGATTGCAGCTGCAGAGGAAACATTCAGATAGACAGGGTATAAACAACCATAGAAATTATGGGGCAATGTGTTCCTAGAACCTTTTGGACAGTTCATAATGGCTTTGTAGTGAAATATGAAGCTCATTATTATATTCCTACTTACTTGGTGCATTGTGATATATTCTTTTTTATTCTTGTTGAAAACTTTCCAAAGTTTCCAAAGCTGGAACTTTTTTTCGTTGTTGTTAATTTTTTAAATTTTTTGTGGGTACATAGTAGGTGTATATATTTATGGGGTAAATGAGATGTTTTGATACAGGCATGCAATGTGTAATAATCACATCATGAAGAATTGGGTATCCATCCCTTGAAGCATTTATACTTTGTATTACGAACAATCCAATTATACTCTTTTAGTTATTTTTAAAAGTACAATTATTATTGACTATAGTCACCTTGTTGTGCTATCAAATGCTAGGCCTTATTCATTCTTTTGAACTATTTTTTAATACCCATTAACCATCCTCACCTCACCCTCAGGCCCCTACTACCCTTTCCAGCCTCTGGTAACCATCTTTCTACTCTCTATGTCCATGAGTAAAATTGTTTTGATTTTTAGATCCCACAAATGTGTGAGAACATGTGATGTTTGTCTTTCTGTGCCTGGTTTATTTCACTTAACATAATGACTTTCAGTTCCATCCATGTTCTTGCAATTGACAGTATCTCATTCTGTTTTATGGCTGAATAGTACTCCATTGTGTACACATATCACATTATTTTTATCTATTGATCTGTTGATGGACACTTAGGTTGATTCTAAATCTTGGCAATTTATATAGCCAAGCTTTTCAACTTGTTGCGATCCCATTTGTCCATTTTTTTTTTTTTTTTTTGAGACGGAGTCTCGCTCTGTCGCCCAGACTGGAGTGCAGTGGCACAATCTCGGCTCACTGCCAGCTCCGCCTCCTGGGTTCATGCCATTCTCCTGCCTCAGCCTCCCGAGTAGCTGGGACTACAGGCGCCTGCCACCACACCCAGCTAATTTTTTGTATTTTTAGTAAGAGACAGGGTTTCACCGTGTTAGCCAGGATGGTCTTGATCTCCTAACCTCGCGATCCGCCCGCCTCGGCCATCCAAAGTGCTGGGATTATAGGCATGAGCCACCGCGCCCGGACCCATTTGTCCATTTTTTGCTTTGGTTGCCCGTGCCTGTGGAGTAAGAAATTTTGCCCAGACCAATGTCCTGGAGATTTTCTCCAATATTTTCTGGTAGAAGTTTCATAGTTTGAAGTCTTAGATTTAAGTCTTTAATCCACTTTGATTTGATTTTTGTATATAATGAGAAATGGGGCTCTAGTTTCATTCTTCTGCATATGGACATCCAATTTTACCAGCATCATTTATTGAAGAGGCTGTCTTTTCCCCAGCGTATATGTTCTTGGCACCTTTGTTAAAAATGAATTCATTGTAGGTGTGTGAATTTGTTTCTGGGTTTTCTATTCTGTTTCATTGGTCTATGTCTCTGTTATTATGCCAGTACCAGGCTGTTTTGGTTACCATAGATCTGTAGTATTATTTGAAGTAAGGTAATATGATTCCTCTAGTTTTATTCTTTTTGCTCAGGATATATTTGGCTATTCTGGGTCTGTTGTGGTTCCATATAAATTTTAAGATTTTTTTTTCTATTTCTGTGAAGAATATCATTGGTATTTTGATAGACATTGCTTTGAATCCGTAGATTGCTTTGGGTAGTATGAACATTTTAACAATACTGATTTTTCCAAACAATGAATGTGGAATATCTTTCCATTTTTTGGTGTCCTCTTCAATTTCTTTCATCAGTGTTTTATAGTTTTCATTATAGAGATCTTTCACTTCTTTGTTAAGTTTTTAGGTATTTAATTTTATTTGTGGCTATTATCAATGGGCTTACTTTTTTATTTCTTTTTCAGATTGTTGACTGTTGGCATATGGAAATGCTACTGATTTTTGTATGTTGATTTTGTATCCTGAAACTTTACCGAATTTGTTTATCAGTTCTAATAGTTTTTTTTGTGTGTGGAGTCTTTAGAGTTTTCCAAATATAAAATCATGTCATCTGTAAACAAGGATAATTTGGCTTATTCCTTTCCAATTCGGATGTCCTTTATTTCTTTCTTTTGTCTGATTGCTCTAGCTAGGACCTCAGTACTATGTTAAATAACAGTGGTGAAAGTGGGCATCCTTGTCATGTTCCAAATCTTAGAGGGAAGTCTTTTAGTTTTTTCCCCATTCAGTATGATGCTAGCTGGGTGTCTGTCATATATGGCTTTTATTATGTTGAGGTATGTTCCTCCTATAACTAGTTTTTTTAAGGTTTTTATCATAAAGAGATGTTGAATTTTATCAGATGCTTTTTCAGCATTTGATATTTCTATTTATTATATTGAATTTAAATGATCATATGTTGATCATTTAAATGATCATTCTGTTGATATGATGTATTACATTGATTAATTTACATACGTTGAATCATCCTGGCACCCCTGGGATAAATCCCACTTGGTCATGATGAATGAGATTTCTAATATATTATTGAATTTGGTTTGCTAATATTTTGTTGTGAATTTTTGCATGAATATTCATCAGAGAGATCTGCCTGTAGTTTTTTGTTGTGTCTTTGTCTGATTTTAGTATCACAGTAATACTGGTGTTGTAGAATGAGTTTGGAATTATTCCCTGCTCTTCCACATTTCAGAATAATTTGATTAGAATTTGTATTAGCTTTTTAAATGTTTAGCAGGATTCAATGAAGCCATTGGGTCCTGGGTTTTTGTTTCTTGGGAGACTTTTAATTATGGCTTTGATCTTGTTACTTGTTAGTGGTCTGTTCAGATTTTGGATTTCTTCCTGGTTCAATCTTGGTAGGTTATATATGTATAGGAATTTGTCCATTTCTTCTAGGTTTTCCAATTTAATGGCATACAGTTGCTCATGGTAGCCACTAATGATCCTTTGAATTTCTGCAGTATCAGTTGTAAGGTCTACATTTCCATTTCCAAATTTATTTATTTAGATCTTCTGTCTTTTTCTCAGTTAGTCTGGCTAAAAGTTTGTCAATTTTGTTTAACTTTAAAAAAAATCAGATTTTTGTTTCACTGATCTCTTCTATTGTTTTCTTCATTTTAATTTCATTCATTTCTGCTGTGATCTTTATTGTTTCTTTCTTCTAATTTTGGGTTTGGTTTGCTCTTGCTTTTCTAGTTCTTTAAGGTACATTATTAGACTGTTTATTTGACATTTTTCATCTTTTTGATGTAGGCACTTACAGCTATAAACTTCCCATTTAGTACTGCTTTTGATGTATCCCATAGGTTTTGGTATGTTGTGTTTCCATTATCATTTGTTTCAAGAAATTTTTCAACTTCCTTAATTTCTTCTTTGACCCACTGGTCATTCAGGAGCATATTTTGTAATTTCCATGTGTTTGTATAGTTTCCAAAATTCCTCTTGTTATTGATTTACAGTTTTATTCTATTGTGGTCAGAGAAGATGTTTGGTATTATTTCAATTATTTGAATTTTTAAAGACTTGTTTTGTGACCTAACATATGTTCTATCCTTGAGAATGATCCATGTGCTGAGGAAAATAATGTATATTCTGATGTCATTGGATGAGATGTCCTGTAAATATATATTAGATCCATTTGGTCTACAGTGCACATTAAGTCCAATGTTTCTTTGTCAATTTTCTGGCTGGAAGATTTGTTCAATGCTGAAAGTAAGTTATTGAAGTTTCCAGCTACTATTATATTGGGGCCTATCTCTCTCTTTAATTCTAATAATATTTGCTTTATATATCTGGATACTCCAGTGTTGGGTGAATATATATTTTAAATTGTTATATCCTCTTGCTAAATTGACCCCTTTTTATCATTATATGGTGATCTTCTTTGTCTCTTGTTATAGTTTTCTAACTGAAATCTATTTTGTCTGATATGACTACTCCTGCTTTTTTTGGTTTCCATTGGTATGGTGTATGTTTTTCCATTCCTTTTTTTTCAGTCTATGTGTGTCTTTATAGTTGAAGTGTGTTTCTTGAAGGCAATAGATCAACAGGTCTTGTTTTTTCATTCAGTCAGCCAGTCTTTGTCTTTTGATTGAAGAGTTTAGTCCATTTATATTCAATGTTATTATTGATAAGCAAGGACTTACTCCTGCCATTTTAAAATTTGTTTTCTGGTTGTTTTGCGTTCTCTTCCTTCTTTCTTTCCTTCCTGTCTTCCTTTAGTGAAGGTGATTTTCTCTGGTAATAGGATTTAGTTTATTGCTTTTTATTTTTTGTTTATCCATTGTATGTTTTCTGATTTGAGGTTGCCATAAGTCTTACAAATACTATCTTATAAGGCATTATTTTAACCTGATAACAACTTAACACTGTTTACATAAACAAACAAGCAAAAAGAAAACCAGTAAAAACTCTACACCTTAACTTTGTACCCCCAATTTTTAACTTTTTGTTGTTTCAGTGTATATCTTATTGTATTATCTATGTCTTGAAAAGTTGTTGTAGTTATTATTTTTGTTTTTTTTGTTATTTTATTTTATTTTTTATTTTTATTTTTTATTTTATTATTATTATACTTTAAGTTTTAGGGTACATGTGCACAATGTGCAGGTTAGTTACATATGTATACATGTGCCATGCTGGTGTGCTGCACCCATTAACTCGTCATTTAGCATTAGGTATATCTCCTAATGCTATCCCTTCCCCCTGCCCCCACCCCACAACAGTCCCCAGAGTGTGATGTTCCCCTTCCTGTGTCCATGTGTTCTCATTGTTCAATTCCCACCTATGAGTGAGAACATGTGGTGTTTGGTTTTTTGTCCTTGCGATAGTTTACTGAGAATGATGATTTCCAATTTCATCCATGTCCCTATAAAGGACATGAACTCATCATTTTTTATGGCTGCATAGTATTCCATGGTGTATATGTGCCACATTGTCTTAATCCAGTCTATCATTGTTGGACATTTGGGTTGGTTCCAAGTCTTTGCTACTGTGAATAGTGCCACAATAAACATACGTATGCATGTGTCTTTATAGCAGCATGATTTATAGTCCTTTGGGTATATACCCAGTAATGGGATGGCTGGGTCAAATAGTATTTCTAGTTGTAGATCCCTGAGGAATCGCCACACTGACTTCCACAATGGTTGAACTAGTTTACAGTCCCACCAACAGTGTAAAAGTGTTCCTATTTCTCCACATCCTCTCCAGCACCTGTTGTTTCCTGACTTTTTAATGATGGCCATTCTAACTGGTGTGAGATGGTATCTCATTGTGGTTTTGATTTGCATTTGTCTGAGGCCCAGTGATGGTGAGCATTTTTTCATGTGTTTTTTTGGCTGCATAAATGTCTTCTTTTGAGAAGTGTCTGTTCATGTCCTTCGCCCACTTTTTGATGGGGTTGTTTGTTTTTTTCTTGTAAATCTGTTTGAGTTCATTGTAGATTCTGGATATCAGCCCTTTGTCAGATGAGTAGGTTGTGAAAATTTTCTCCCATTTTGTAGGTTGCCTGTTCACTCTGATGGTAGTTTCTTTTGCTGTGCCGAAGCTCTTCAGTTTAATTAGACTCCATTTGTCAATTTTGGCTTTTGTTGCCATTGCTTTTGGTGTTTTAGACATGAAGTCCTTGCCTATGCCTATGTCCTGAATGGTAATGCCTAGGTTTTCTTCTAGGGTTTTTATGGTTTTAGGTCTAACGTTAAGTCTTTAATCCATGTTGAATTAATTTTTGTATAAGGTGTAAGGAAGGGATCCAGTTTCAGCTTTCTACATATGGCTAGCCAGTTTTCCCGGCACCATTTATTAAATAGGGAATCCTTTCCCCATTGCTTGTTTTTCTCAGGTTTGTCAAAGATCAGATAGTTGTAGATATGCAGTGTTATTTCTGAGGGCTCTGTTCTGTTCCATTGATCTATATCTCTGTTTTGGTACCAGTACCATGCTGTTTTGGTTACTGCAGCCTTGTAGTATTGTTTGAAGTCAGGTAGCATGATGCCTCCAGCTTTGTTCTTTTGGCTTAGGATTCACTTGGCGATGTGGGCTCTTTTTTGGTTCCATATGAACTTTAAAATAGTTTTTTCCAATTCTGTGAAGAAGGTCATTGGTAGCTTGATGGGGATGGCATTGAATCTATAAATTACCTTGGGCAGTTTGGCCATTTTCATGATGTTGATTCTTCCTACCCATGAGCATGGAATGTTCTTCCATTTCTTTGTATCCTCTTTTATTTCATTGGGCAGTGGTTTGTAGCTCTCCTTGAAGAGGTCCTTCGCGTCCCTTGTAAGTTGGATTCCTAGGTATTTTATTCTCTTTGAAGCAATTGTGAATGGGAGTTCACTCATGATTTGGCTCTCTGTTTGTCTGTTATTGGTGTATAAGAATGCTTGTGATTTTTGTACGTTGATTTTGTATCCTGAGATTTTGCTGAAGTTGCTTATCAGCTTAAGGAGATTTTGGACTGAGACAATGGGGTTTTCTAGATATACAATCATGTCATCTGCAAACAGGGACAATTTGACTTCCTCTTTTCCTAATTGAATACACTTTATTTCCTTCTCCTGCATAATTGCCCTGGCCAGAACTTCCAACACTATGTTGAATAGGAGTGGTGAGAGAGGGCATCCCTGTCTTGTGCCAGTTTTCAAAGGGAATGCTTCCAGTTTTTGCCCATTCAGTATGATATTGGCTGTGGGTTTGTCATAGATAGCTCTTATGATTTTGAGATACATCCTATCAATACCTAATTTATTGAGAGTTTTTAGCATGAAGTGTTGTTGAATTTTGTCAAAGGCCTTTTCTGCATCTATTGAGATAATCGTGTGGTTTTTGTCTTTGGTTCTGTTTATATTGCGGATTACCTTTATGGATTTGCATATATTGAACCAGCCTTGCATCCCAGGGATGAAGCCCACTTGATCATGGTGGATAAGCTTTTTGATGCGCTGCTGAATTCAGTTTGCTGGTATTTTATTGAGGATTTTTGCATCAATGTTCATCAAGGATATTGGTCTACAATTCTCTTTTTTGGTTGTGTTTCTGCCCGGCTTTGGTATCAGGATGACGCTGGCCTCATAAAATGAGTTAGGGAGGATTCCCTCTTTTTCTATTGATTGGAATAGTTTCAGAAGGAATGGTACCAGTTCCTCCTTGTACCTCTGGTAGAATTCGGCTGTGAATCCATCTGGTCCTGGACTCTTTTTGGTTGGTAAGCTATTGATTATTGCCACAATTTCAGATCCTGTTATTGGTCTATTCAGAGATTCAACTTCTTCCTGGTTTAGTCTTGGGAGGGTGTATGTGTTGAGGAATTTATCCATTTCTTCTAGATTTTTTAGTTTATTTGCGTAGAGGTGTTGGTAGTGTTCTCTGATGGTAGTTTGTATTTCTGTGGGATCAGTGGTGATATCCCCTTTATCACTTTTTATTGCCTCTATTTGATTCTTCTCTCTTTTCTTCTTTATTAGTCTTGCTAGCGGTCTATCAATTTTGTTGATCATTTCAAAAAACCAGCTCCTGGATTAATTAATTCTTTGAAGGGTTTTTTGTGTCTCTATTTCCTTCAGTTCTGCTCTGATTTTAGTTATTTCTTGCCTTCTGCTAGCTTTTGAATGTGTTTGCTCTTGGTTTTCTACTTCTTTTAATTGTGATGTTAGGGTGTCAATTTTGGATCTTTCCTGCTTTCTCTTGTGGGCATTTAGTGCTATAAATTTCCCTCTACACTCTGCTTTGAATGTGTCCCAGAGATTCTGGTATGTTGTGTCTTTGTTCTCGTTGGTTTCAAAGAACATCTTTATTTCTGCCTTCATTTCGTTATATACCCAGTAGTCATTCAGGAGCAGGTTGTTCAGTTTCCATGTAGTTGAGCAGTTTTGAGTGAGTTTCTTAATCCTGAGTTCTAGTTTGATTGCACTGTGGTCTGAGAGACAGTTTGCTATAATGTCTGATCTTTTACATTTGCTGAGGAGAGCTTTACTTCCAAGTATGTGGTCAATTTTGGAATAGGTGTGGTGTGGTGCTGAAAAAAATGTATATTCTGTTGATTTGGGGTGGAGAGTTCTGTAGATGTCTATTAGGTCTGCTTGGTGCAGAGCTGAGTTCAATTCCTGGGTATCCTTGTTAACTTTCTGTCTCATTGATCTGTCTAATGTTGACAGTAGGGTGTTAAAGTCTCCCGTTATTATTGTGTGGGAGTCTAAGTCTCTTTTTAGGTCACTCAGGACTTGCTTTATGAATCTGGGTGCTGCTGTATTGGGTGCATATATATTTAGGATAGTTAGCTCTTCTTGTTGAATTGATCCCTTTACCATTATGTAATGGCCTTCTTTGTCTCTTCTGATCTTTGTTGGTTTAAAGTCTGTTTTATCAGAGACTAGGATTGCAACCCCTGCCTTTTTTTGTTTTCCATTTGCTTGGTAGATCTTTCTCCATCCTTTTATTTTGAGCCTATGTGTGTCTCTGCACGTGAGATGGGTGTTCTGAATACAGCACACTGATGCATCTTGACTCTTTATCCAATTTGCCAGTCTGTGTCTTTTAATTGGAGCATTTAGTCCATTTACATTTAAAGTTAATATTGTTATGTGTGAATTTGATCCTGTCATTATGATGTTAGCTGGTTATTTTGCTCGTTAGTTGATGCAGTTTCTTCCTAGCCTCGACGGTCTTTACAATTTTGCATGATTTTGCAGTGGCTGGTACCGGTTGTTCCTTTCCATGTTTAGTGCTTCCTTCAGGAGCTCTTTTAGGGCAGGCCTGGTGGTGACAAAATCTCTCAGCATTTGCTTGTCTGTAAAGTATTTTATTTCTCCTTCACTTACGAAGCTTAGTTTGGCTGGATATGAAATTCTGGGTTGAAAATTCTTTTCTTTAAGAATGTTGAATATTGGCCCTCACTTTCTCCTGGCTTGTAGGGTTTCTGCCGAGAGATCCGCTGTTAGTCTGATGGGCTTCCCTTTGTGGGTAACCCGACCTTTCTCTCTGGCTGCCCTTAACATTTTTTCCTTCATTTCAACTTTGGTGAATCTGACTATTATGTGTCTTGGAGTTGCTCTTCTCAAGGAGTATCTTTGTGGCGTTCTCTGTATTTCCTGAATCTGAATGTTGGCCTCCCTCGCTAGATTGGGGAAGTTCTCCTGGATAATATCCTGCAGAGTGTTTTCCAACTTGGTTCCATTCTCCCTGTCACTTTCAGGTACACCAATCAGACGTAGATTTGGTCTTTTCACATAGTCCCATATTTCTTGGAGGCTTTGTTCGTTTCTTTTTATTCTTTTTTCTCTAAACTTCCCTTTTGCTTCATTTCATTCATTTCATCTTCTGTCACTGATACCCTTTCTTCCAATCGATCGCCATCAGCTCCTGAGGCTTCTGCATTCTTCACGTAGTTTTTGAGCCTTGGCTCTCAGCTCCATCAGCTCCTTTAAGCACTTCTCTGTATTGGTTATTCTAGTTATGCATTCGTCTAAATTTTTTTTCAAAGTTTTTAACTTCTTTCCCTTTGGTTTGAATTTCCTCTTGTAGCTCAGAGCAGTTTGATCATCTGAAGACTTCTTCTCTCAACTCGTCAAAGTCATTCTCCATCCAGCTTTGTTCCATTGCTGGTGAGGAGCTGTGTTCCTTTGGTGGAGGAGAGGCGCTCTGCTTTTTAGAGTTTCCAGTTTTTCTGCTCTGTTTTTTCCCCATCTTTGTGGTTTTATCTACTTTTGGTCTTTGATGATGGTGATGTACAGATGGGTTTTTGGTGTGGATGTCCTGTTTGTTAGTTTTCCTTCTAACAGACAGGACCCTCAGCTGCAGGTCTGTTGGAGTTTGCTAGAGGTCCACTCCAGACCCTGTTTGCATGGGTACCAGCAGCGGTGGCTGCAGAACACCGGATTTTCGTGAACCGCGAATGCTGCTGTCTGATTGTTCCCCTGGAAGTTTTGTCTCAGAGGAGTACCTGGCCATGTGAGGTGTCAGTCTGCCCCTACTGGGGGGTGCCTCCCAGTTAGGCTGCTCGGGGGTCAGGGGTCAGGGACCCATTTGAGGAGCCAGTCTGCCCATTCTCAGATCTCCAGCTGTGTGCTGGGAGAACCACTGCTGTCTTCAAAGCTGTCAGACAGGGACATTTAAGTCTGCAGAGGTTACTGCTGTCTTTTTGTTTGTCTGTGCCCTGCCCCCAGAGGTGGAGCCTACAGTGGCAGGCAGGCCTCCTTGAGCTGTGGTGGGCTCCACCCAGTTCGAGCTTCCAGGCTGCTTTGTTTACCTAAGAAAGCCTGGGCAATGGCGGGCAACCCTCCCCCACCCTCGCTGCCGCCTTGCAGTTTGGTCTGACTGCTGTGCTAGCAATTAGCGAGACTCTGTGGGCGTAGGACCCCCTGAGCCATGTGCAGGATATAATCTCCTGGTGTGCCGTCTCCTAAGCCCGTCGGAAAAGCGCAGTATTAGGGTGGGAGTGACCCGATTTTCCAGGTGCCGTCTGTCACCCCTTTCTTTGACTAGGAAAGGGAACTCCCTGACCCCTTGCGCTTCCCAAGTGAGGCAATGCCTTGCCCTGCTTTGGTTCGCTCACGGTGCACTGCATCCACTGTCCTGCACCCACTGTCTGGCACTCCCTAGTGAGATGGACCCGGTACCTCAGATGGAAATGCAGAAATCACCCGTCTTCTGCGTCGCTCACGCTGGGAGCTGTAGACCGGAGCTGTTCCTATTCGGCCATCTTGGCTCCTCCCTCCATGTCCTTTTATTTCTGATTGAAGTTCTCCCTTTAGAATTTCTTGTAAGACAGGTCTAGTGTTGATGAAATTCCTCAGCTTTAGTTCATCTGGGAAAGTCTTTATTTCTCCTTCATGTTTGAAGGGTATTTTTGCTGGATATACTATTCTAGGGTATAAGTTTTTTTCCTTTAGTGTTTAAATATGTTATGCCACTCTCTCCTGGCATGTAAAGTTCAAAGCTGGAACATTTTGAGAGACCAAATAAATAACAAAGCATTAAATTATGACTCAATGTGTGAAAGAAACATATCAGTCTATAGTAATATAAATAATATTGAATAAAATGAGGAGAGAAGAGCCAGACCTTTTTTACAGAAGCATTCTAAATAATATAGGGATTGTTACATAGATACTCCCCTTTCAGCAGATGGAGCTTAATTCCCATCTTCCTGCTTCCCCTTTGAAGGTAGGCTATGTTAGTGACTCATTTCCAAAGAACAGAATAGTGAAAGGGATAAATAGTAGTTTCATGGTGGAGAAACCTAGCAAATACCACCTTAACCAGGTAATCAAGGCTAGTATCAACAGTGATGTAACGTGGCTATCATGTGACCCCTGATATACTGTGATGAGAAGAGTTGATTTTTTTAAATAAAAACATGTAAGTACAGTCTAATCATGATACAATATCAGGCGAACTCGTATTGGGAATGTTCTACAGGATACCTGGCCAGTGCTCAAGACTATGAAGGTCATGAAAAATAAGGAAAGAGTGAGAAACTCACAGATCAGAGGACACTGGGAAGACATGATAACTAAATCCAATGTGCTATTCTGGATTGAATCTGGAACAGATTTAGGACTTTAATGGAAAAACTAGTGAAGTCCAGTAAAGAATGGAATTTAGTTAACAGTAATGTACTGCAATTTTCTTTGTTTTGACAAATATCCTAGGTAATGTAAGATGTTAACAATGGGAAAACTGAGTGAGGGGTATTTGGGAACCCTCTGTACTGTCTCTGTACTATCTGTACTATATCTCTACTATCTACTTTTTTAGAAATGCAAATTATTTTAAAATAAAACATATTTTAAAATTCCCATATTTAATCATGTTATGTCATATTTAGGCGTTTAATGGAAATTTCCCTGGGACATGGGGGTAACAGATGAATAAAAGTTGGGAATAATTTTAAAAGCATGGAAGCTAAAAATCATTTGATTCCCCTGCAATTTATCAGAGTAGGCACTATCATTCCTCTAATTTTTTGCATTTTTATGTGTATGAGATGTGTTTCATAAGATCCTCTTAGCATTTCTGAGAAATGAGTCAGGAGCAAAATGATCTGATTTGGAGAACTGTTTAAAAAAGGCTCAAGCATTCTCTCTAGCTGTTGGTATCTTTAATATTCCATATGATTTCATTTTAACCTTCTCACCAACTCAGCTCCCTGGGATACATTTATAAACTAATTTTTTTTCTGTAACTGTGGCTACTTCCTTTTTCTTCCCAAATGGACCACACTTTACTAGTGCAAGACTTTCAAAGAATTCCAAGAAACTAAGTGGGAAAAAAATGCTGTGAGCCAACAGACTACTTACAAACCTTTGGTTCAAGGGTTTGCCACAAATTTTGAGGAATGGTGGTTAAGTTGCTCACATTTTTTTAAACAAAAAGTTTGTAAAATTTGTAAATTTGTAGTGTGCAGGGAAACCCAGCAAACTTGCCTTTTCATAAGAAACACAAAAATATATTTAAAATATAATGTTTAATAAATGTAAGTGTGTTTTTAACCAACAGGTTATATAATTACTGACTTATTCATTTGAACAAGTAGATTGTGGAATACACAATCTCAAGGTGAAAATAATTTAGATTTATTTATGCAGCTTTAGAGACAAGTATCTTCAAAGGTCCTTCTCAAGTTTATTGACTTTAGGTTAACTCTTTGGTTTCATTTGCTCCTGATTAATCTTTTAATATTAATAAAACCCTTCCTTTAAAATTCAAATATTAATGAGACTTTTCTCCTTTAAATTAAAAAAATTGAAACACAAAAATTAAAAGGTTGCACATAACATCTAAGATATTTACATATGCATGCAACTCTGCAAAATGTGCAATGAAAACAGTTAAATAACTTAATAACAAATATAAAATTATTCTTTAAATAGAATCTTGAGTTCCGTATGCATTTTAATGAAACCATTACATCTGTGATTTCAACACTCGTCACTGAGAGATTCTTAAGCAGTTTATTTAGCACATGTCTTATTTTCCAAAAATTTTTTCTATAGACATATATCAATGTCCACATGTCTAAATGTGGTATGTTTCAAGTCACTGTTGCCTAAGTTTCTATTGTAGATGTCTTAGGCTATCTAAATTGTTCTTTTAACAAATAAAACAAGGCAAACACTTACCATCTGGCATCCTTATTCTGTTGATACATCTCCCAAGTATAGCATAAAATTAAAATATAGCACACCAAAATCAAGGGTAGAGGGAAAAAAAAAGTTGTTATCGTCAAATAAAGTGTATACCTGTAAAATGAGAGAGAGAAGAGAGAGAGAGAAAGAACAACACCATTACATTAATTGGATTAGGAATTGGCTTTTGCAGTTTCCGAGGCATAATTCTTTCATTTTTCAGGGTCCAGGATGAAAGTCCTTGTGGAAAAGCTCAAGATCTTTGGTTGCTTTATTGTAGAGAAGCCCTGATCTTCATTGTTCACTAACAACAATGCTTGTCTTTTCTCTAGCCACACCCAACTCTAATGAGTGTAGAATAAGTGAGGCTACCTATTACCAATCTTCAGTGTTTAACAATGACAGGCAACAGTATGTAACATTTATTATATAGTAGGCACTGTTCTAAGCATTTTGTATATCTTTACTCATTGAATCTGTGAAACCCCATGAGTATGATGCCATTAGTGCCCTTACATTACAGAAGAAGAAACTGAGGCACAGAGGGGTCAAGTGGCTTGCCCAAGATTACCCAAACAGTAACTGGCAGAGGTAAAATTTGAACCCAGGATAGCCAATGATGGTGGGAGAAGTAATGAATAAACAATATTATCTATGTTTCTTCTAAACAATTTTCGCTGATGCATAATAGATGTATATCATTTCAGAGTATATGTGATAGTTTAATACATTCATATAATTTGTAAAAATCAAATCAGTGTACTTGGAATATCCATCACCTTAAATATTTGTCTTTTTAAAAATGCTAGAAACATTCAAATTATTCTCTTCTAGCTATTTTGAAATGTACAATAGGATATTTTAAAGTATAGTCATCCTACTGATTCACCAAACACTAGGTCTTATTTCTTTTATTAAAGTGTATCTTTGTATCCACTTAATTATCTTTTCTTCTTTACCCACTTCCTCTACCTTTCCTGGCCTCTGGTAACCACCAATCTACTATCTTTATGAGATTCACTTTTTTAGCTCCCACATATAAGTGAGAAGATGTGATATTTGTCTTTCTGTACTTGGCTCGTTTCACTTAACATAATAGCCTTCATTTCTATTCATGTTGCTACAAATGACAGGATTTTGTTGTTTTTTATGGATGAATGATATTCTATTGTGTGTATATATATTATACTTTATCCATTCACCTATTGATAGGCATTTAGATTAATTACATATTTTGGTTATTGTGAACAGTACAGCAATAAACATGGTAGTACAGATATCTCTTTGGTATATTAATATCGTTTCTTTTGGATATAAACCCAGTAGTGGAACTGTCGGATCATATGGTAGTTCTATTTTTAGTTTTTCGAGGAGCCTTTATAGTGATTGTAACAATATATATTCCCACCGACAATGTACAAAGGTTCCGCTTTGTTCACATCCTTGTCAGCATCCATTATTGCCTGTTTTTTTGGTAAAAGCTACTTTAATTGGGGTGAGATGATATCTCCTTGTGGTTTTGATTTGCATTTCTCTGATGGTTAGTGATACTGAGCACTTTTTATGTACCCATTGGCCATTTATATGTCTTATTTTGAGAAATGTCTGTTCAGATTTTTGCCCATTTTTTACATTGGATTATTTGGGTTTTTTTGCTATTGAGTTGTTTGAGCTCCTTATATATTCTGGTTTTTAATCACTTGTCAGATGGATGGTTTGCAAATATTTTCTTCCATTCTGTGCGTTGTCTCTTCACTTTGTTGATTGTTTTCTTTGCTGTGCAGAAGCTTTTTAGTTTGAGGTAATCCTATTTATCCACTTTTGCTTAGGTTGCCTGTGCTTTTGAGGTCTTGTATGAAAAGTCTTTGCCCAGACCAATGTCCTGGAGCATTTCCCTATGTTTTCTTCTTGTAGTTTTCATAGGTTCAAGTCTTAGATTTAAGTATTTAATTCATTTCGGTTTGATTTTTGTGTATGGTGAGAGGTATGGGTCTAGTTTCATTCTTCTGCATGTAGTTTTCCAGTTTTCCCAGGACAATTTATTGAAGGGACTTTCCTGTCTCCATTCTTGGCTCCTTTGATGAAGATGAGTTGGCTATAAATGTGTGGATTTATATCGGGCACTCTATTCTGTTCCATTCGTCAATGTGTCTTTTTATGCCAGTACCATGCTGCTTTGGTTACTATAGCTTTCTAGTAAATTTTGAAGTCGGGTAGCATGATGCCTCTAGCTTTGTTCTTTACCTCAGGATTTCTTTAGCTATTCAGGGTCTTTTGTGGTTCCATATAAATTTTAGAATTTTTTGTCCTGTTTCTGTGAAAACTGTTATTGGTATTTTGAGAGAGATTGCATTGAATCTGTACATTGCTTTGGGTAGTAGTGTCATTTTAACAATAGTAATTCTTCCAATTAATCAACACGGAATATCCTTTTTTGTGTCCTATTTCTTGCATCAGGTATTTATGTACGTGTGTATTTTTTTAATCAGAGTTTTATAGTTTTCCTTGTATAGATATATCACTTCTTTTGTTGAATTGAATACTAGGTATTTTATATTCTTGGTAGCTATTTTGAAGGCCACTGCATTTCTGATTTCTTTGTCAGATTGTTTATTACTGCATATGTAAATGCTATTGATTTTTATACATTCATTTTGTATCCTGTGACTTTACTGAATTCATTTATCAGTTTTAATAGTTTTTTGGTGAGTTTTAGGTTTTTCTAAACATAATATCATGCCATCTGTGAACAAGGCTATTTGGCTTTTTCCTTTCCAATTTGAATGCCCATTATTTCTTTCTCTTGCCTAATTGCTCTGGCTAGGATTTCTGATATTACATTGAATAAAAGTGGTGAAAGTGGGTATACTTGTCTTGTTGCAGATCTTAGAGAAAAGGCCTTCAATTTTTCCCCATTCAGTGCAAAATTAGCTGTAAGTATGTCATGTATGCCCTTTGTTATTTTGAGGTATGTTCCTTTTATAACCAGTTTGATGAGGGTTTTATCAGAAAGGGATGCTGAATTTTATTGAATGATGTTTTGGCATTTATTGAAATAATCATATGGTTTTTGTTCTTGGTGCTGTTAATGTGATGTATCAAATTTATTGATTTGTGTATGGTGAACCATCCTCACATTCCTTGGATGAGTTCTACTTGCTCATGATATACGATTTTTTTAATGTGTTGTTGAATTCTGTTTGCTAGTATTTTGTTAAGGATTTTTGCATCTATGCTCATCAGTAATATTGGTCTGTAGTTTTGTTTTCTTGTGTGTCTCTGGATGGTTTTGGTATCAGAGTAACGCTGGCTTTGTAGAATGAGTTTGGAAGTATTCCTTCCTCTTCATTTTTTTTTTTTGAAGTTTGAAGAGAATTGGTATTAATTATTTAAATATTTGGTAGAATTCAGCAATGAAGTCATCAGGTCCTGGACTTTCCTTTGATGAAAGACTTTTTGTTACAGCGTCAGTCTCCTTATTCGCTATTGATTTGTTGAGGCTGTTTATTTCCTCATGGTTCAATCTTGGCAGGCTGTTTGTGTCCAGGAATTTATTTATTTCCTCTATATTTCCCAGTTTGTTGGCTTTTAGTGATTCATTACAGTTTCTAATGACTCTTTGTATTTCTGAGGTTTCAGTTGTTATGTTTCCCTTTTTGTTTCTGATTTTGTTTATTTGGAACTTCTCTGTTTTTCTTAGTCTAGCTAAAGGTTTGTTGGTTTTGTTTATCTTTTTGAAAAGCCAACTTTTCATTTTGTTGATCGTCTGTAGTTTTTTTAGTCTCAATTTTATTTATTTCTGCTCTAATCTTCATTATTTATTTCCTGCTACTAATTTTGGGTTTGGTTTGTTGCCTTTCTAATTCTTTGAGGTACATTCGTGGGTTGTTTATTTTAAGTCTTTCTACTTTTTTGATATAGGCATTTATAACTGTAAAATTCCTTGTTAGTACTGCTTCTGCTATATCCCATAGATTTTGGTATGTTGTATTTCAACTTTCGTTTGTTTCAAAAATGTTTAAATTTCTTTCTTGATGTATTCATTGACCCACTAATCATTCAGGAGCATGTTGTTTAATTTACATATATTTGTGTAGTTTCCAAGGTTGCTCTTGTTATTGATTTCTAGTTTTAGTCCATTGTGGTCAAAGATACTTGCTATAACTTCTACTTTTTTGAATTTGATCAGATGTGTCTTGTGGCCTGATAGGATTATTCTGGGGGAATGTTCTATATGCTGTTGAAAAGAATTTGCATTCTGCAACAGTTGGGTGAAATGTTCTGTAAATGTCAGGCCTATTAGGTCTAGTGTGTAGTTTAATTCTGCCGTTTCTTTGTTGATTTTCTGTCTGGATGATCTGTCGATAACAGAGAATGGTGTGTTAAAATCTCTTACTATTATTGCATTGCAGCCCTCTCTCTCCCTGAAGATCTATTAGTGTTTGCTCTATATATTTGGGAGCCCCAATGTTGGGTGCAGAGATACTGAAAATTGTTATATCCTTTTGCTGAATTGACTCCTTTATCATTATATAGTGACCTTCTTTGTCTTCTTTTACAGTCATTGATTTGTAGTCTATTTTATCTAAATATAGCTACTCTTGCTCTTTTTGACCTCCAGTTGTATGGAATGTGTTTTCCCATCCCTTCACTCTCAGTCTATGTGTGTCTTTATAGGTGAAGTGGGTTTCTTGTAGGCTGCATATAGTTGAGTCTTGTTTCTTTATCAAGCCTCTTGCTGCCTTTTAATTGGAAAATTGAGACCCTTTACATTCAGTATTATTATTGATAAGCAAGGACTTACTACTGCCATCTTGTTGCTTATTTTCTGGTTTTGTAACTTTTGTCTTCCTTTCTTCTTTTCTTACTATCTTCCTTTGTGGAAAAGTGAATTTCTCTGGCGGAATGTCTTAGTTCATTCCTTTTTATTTTTAAAATCTATTATGGATTTTTGTGATGTGGTTGCAATGATGCTGACAAAAAATATATATAACAAGTTATTCTAAAGAGATGATAATTTATCTTACATCAAAGAAAAAAGTGGAAAAAAATCTACATTTTAACTCCATTCCCCTACATTTTAACTTTTAGTTGTCTCAGTTTACGTATTTCCATATTATCTGTCTCTTAACAGGTTGCTATAGCTGTTACCATTTTTGATAGATTTGTCTTTTGGGCTTCATGCTAGAATTATGAGTGGATTATACACCATAATTACAGTATTAGAGTATTCTGGGCTTGTTAATGTATTTAATTTTATCCAGGGGTTTCATACCTTCAAGTATTTTCTTTTTGCACATTAGTGTTTTTTTTTTTTTCTTTCCAACAGAAGAACTCCCTTTAGCATTTCTTGTAAGACAGATCTGGTGGTGGTAAATTCCTTCAACTTCTGCTTGTCTGGAAAACACTTTAACTCTTCTTCACAGTTGAAGGATAATGTGCTGGATGCAATATCTTGGATGGCAGGTGTTTTTTTTTTTTTTTTTTTCAGTTTGAGAATGCCATTTCACTCCCTCTTGGCCTGTATGGTTTCTAGTAAGAAGTCCATTTCCAGATGAATTAGAGCTCCTTTATACGTTATTTGCTTCTTTTCTCTTACTGATTTTAGAGTTCTATCTTTGTCTTTGACTTTTGAGAGTTTATTATATGCCTTGGGGTACAGTCTTTTTGGGGTTGATTTTGTTTGGTGTTCTCTGATCTTCCCATATCTGGATATTTACATCTTTCTCAATTTGGGGAAATTTTCTGTTATTATTTCTTTGAATAAGCTTTCTACTCCTTGCGCTTGCTCAACTCCCTCTTGAACACCGATAAGTCTTAGATTTGGTCTTTTGAAGTAATTTTTTCTATATCTTGTATACAGTCTTCATTTCTTTTCATTCCTTTTTCTGACTGTGTATTTTCAAATAGCCTGTCTTTGAGCTCACTAATTCTTTCCTTTGCTTGACCCGTTCTGCTGTTGAGAATTTTTAGTAACTTTTTCAGTTTAGCAAGTGTATTTCTCAGTTCCAAGATTTTTTTTAATTTTTAAAATTATTTCAATCTCTTTGTTAAATTTCTCTGATATATTTCTGAATTGCTTTTGTGTGTTATCTTGAGATCACTGAGTTTCCTAAAAACCACTATTTTGAATTATTGGCCAGAGAGCTCACATATTGCTGTCTCATTAGGGTCAGTTACTGGTTCCCTGATGGTTCACTGTTTGCTGTTGCTTCTTATGGATGTACATCTATGTCTTTGCATTAAGGATTTGCTATTTATTCCAGTCTTCTCTGTCTGAGTTGTTTTGGTTTTTATTTCCTGTATTTGCTTAGAGAGTCTTTATCGCTAGGTTGCTGTCTCCTTTTGGCTCTAGGTGGTGCCTTAAGCCCAGGCTTGCTTTGGCTCTAGTGACCCATCAGTCACTGGCTGTCCTGAATGGGGGAAGTCCCAAAGGAGATATCCCGGAGGTGTGGGAAGCCTGGCTAGGGGTTTGTCCAGGGGACCTGCTGAATGTACCTCCTGGAGTGTACTGCTATATAGCCACTCTGATTTAGTGTCTCCTTTGGCTGAGTTACAGAGCAACAGTCCCACCTCCCTACTTTGTCTCTGCCTGTTCTCAGGGATATTTCTCCCTTCCAGAACTTATGATACTTCCCATAGGTTAAGGCAGAGACAGGTATTTTGTCAGGGAACCCAAGGTGGTGGGAAAGCTGGTTGTCTACCTTGATCTCGTTTTTTTCAGTGTAGAAACTGTGAGTTGGGGGGAAGTTTTTCATGTGTTTGGTGTCAGGCAGAATGGGGGAGAGGGGTGTCATGGATGTGGAAATCTGATTCTGTTACAGTTGGCTTGGAGGCTTTTTTTTTTTTTTTTCACTTCTCTGAATCCTGAGGAACCATCTCATCCACATATTTGAGTTCTGGAGTTCTGGAGTTCTGGGATATTGCTAATGATAACCTTGGTGCTGTATATTTGTCTTTGATTTTCTGAGGGCTCTGGGAGTGGGGGCATTCAGTCAGCTTGCTTCTATGCTGCCATTTTGGAACTGGAAGTGCAGTCCTATCTATGTTGCACTGTTATGTCCCAAATGTTTGTGTTCCCTCAAAATTCCTATGTTGAAAACCTAACCCCAAATATAATGGTATGAGGAAGTAGGGTCTTTGGGAACTAATTAAGTCATGAGAGTCGCGCCTTCATGAATGGGAATAGTGTACTTATAAGAAGAGACACAAGAGAGCTTGCTTCCTGTCTCTCTCTTTTGCCACATAAGGACAAAATGAGAAGTTGGCAGACTGCAACCTGGAAGAGGGCTGTCATCAGAACTTGATCATGCTGGCAGTTTCATCTTGGATTTCCAGCTTCTAGAACTGTGAAAAATAAATTTCTATTGTTTACAAGCCACCTAGTCTATAGTGCTTTGTTATACTAAACTGAACTGAACAAGACATGCAAGCATATGAATTTTTTTTTTTTAACTGGATTAGCGGATTTGCAGGTCCTTTACCGCCATCTTTCTTTGGCTGTGTCCACATAATGCAGAAATGACTTATCTATTTGACAAGTGATGGAGTAAGAGAAAGTAATCTGCCAGACTGACTTGAGATAGCATATGTAAAAATATCTAACACAGTTATTGGTCATTGGTAGTTGCTCAAATAATTTAATCATGAACTCCAATTCTGTGTTCAAATTTCAAATTGAAGACTTTTAATTTCTTTTTAAATTAAAATGTATAAAACGGCTATGGTAGTTGCATTAGTTTCCTAGGACTGCTATAAGAAATTAGCACAAACTGCATAGCTTAAAACAATAGAAATTTATTCTCTCACAGCTCTGAAAGCTAGACATCTGAAATCAAGGTGCTGGCAAATTTGGTTCTTCAGAGGCTCTGAAGCAGAATCTGCTCTATGCCCCCTCCTACCCTCTCTGCTGGTTTCTGGCAATCCTTGGTGTTCCTTGGCTTACAGACATATCACTCCAATCTCCGCCTCTGTCTTCACCTGTATTCTCTTTTCTGTGTGTCTCTGTGTTTCTTAAAATCTGCTTCTCCTTATCAGGACAATAGTCATTGGGCCCACCCTAATCCAGCATGACCTTAACTTAGCTTGATTACATCTGAAAAAACCCTATTTCCAAATAAGATCACATTCACAGGTATGGGGAGCTGGTGTAGGACTTGAACATGTCTTTATAGGGGACATAATTCAAGCAAACTGCAATTGCATACTGATGAGGTGGAGTCTGAGTGACTCTGGAAATTCCTTACCTCCCTTGATTGCTGCATTCCCACTGCGTCTGGCTGCTATGAATGTTTAAAATCCATGTTTAAATATATTTGTGTCCACTGAGGTTACATGATTGAATTCAAAATCTTTTTCTAAAGGTTACCCTCTCCTTAAAAATCAAACTTATCACCTTGATTGTATGTGTGGAGAAACCTAATGGAGATACTGGCGAGAAGAGGATCCATAAGGATACTCTTTGAGGCTGCTCACATGTTGACAAGGAGAATGAAGTTCTTCACAACTTAATTCAACTCGTTTTTCTTAAGTTTTCACAACTTACCAGAGTACATCGTCAGGGGATGTCAAATCAAAAGCACAACTCTCAACACCGTCTTTAAATTTGATGACCTTCGAGTAGACCCAGACAGGCAATGCCAGGATAAAGGAAGCTGCCCAAAGGCCCAAATTGATCCGGATGGTCTTGTACCTTGTTCTCCAACGTGTCAGTCGAAATGGTTGGACGAGGGCAAAGTACCTGCAAAGGCAGTCAGGAAGAGTTTTGGAACAATCAATAAAAGCACTGAGCTCCAAGGATGAAAGGTTCATGATGAGAGTAAATTCTTAGCATTATTTTCCTTTCTGAAGCACACCTCTATCAGGGCAAAAGAAAGTTTTATATATATATATATTTTAATTTTTATTTATTTTTTTAAATTTTTATTTATTTATTTTTATTATTATTATACTTTAAGTTTTAGGGTACATGTGCACAATGTGCAGGTTAGTTACATATGTATACATGTGCCATGCTGGTGTGCTGCACCCATTAACTCGTCATTTAGCATTAGGTATATCTCCTAATGCTATCCCTCTCCCCTCCCCCAACCCCACAACAGTCCCCAGAGTGTGATGTTCCCCTTCCTGTGTCCATGTGTTCTCATTGTTCAATTCCCATCTATAAGTGAGAACATGCGGTGTTTGGTTTTTTGTCCTTGCGATAGTTTACTGAGAATGATGATTTCCAATTTCATCCATGTCCCTACAAAGGACATGAAAGTTATATTTTTTAAGATCTGCCTGGTATCTGTAGAGAAAACAATTCTTGACCCTGCAAGTCTGAATAAACCACTCACTGAAATAGTTGTTCCTTCTATGAATACATTGATAATGGTAAAATTCTACAGTGCAAACTCTTTCTTTACAAAGGGGCTTTTCCTATAAACGAAACTCTGGAAAACTTTGTCTCTGAACAGGGATTTCCTGCAGGAGGAAATAACCCTTTTCCCAGCAAGATTTACTGACACAGAGGCAGGAAGGAAGAAAATGTGGGGTTAAGAGAATCCCTCAGCAGGAAGGGGTTCAGGCACATAGAACAAACATTTTGCCCTGATGGCTTTATACTTAAGTCACCAGGCTCATGGAGTTTCAGCTCACAGAAGTCACAGTGAGGATTAACAAGTATGGCTAGTATAGACAATGCAAATTCCTTAAGGAACTTAGGCTAGAAGCCAGAGGGAAGAAATAGGCTAATTTCATGGGGAGGCATTTTTCTTTATTTTTCTCTTTTCATTTTAGGGCCAGGAAAAAAGGGGTAATCATTAATCAAACTTGAAATTCTGACATATCAAATGTATTTGGTCCTCCAGCAAATCCAAGAATTTTTCAGAGCAAAATGAAAGCTGAGAATGAAAAACAAGTTCAGATTCAGAAGGAAGGCTATTTGAAAAAGCACAGCTTTGCTGGGAGCTGGGGGTGGTGGAGGATAGTATTAGTAGAAATTAAACAAATGTAAAAATGGTTTTTATGGTCACTTAATTTTCTCCAAGTTTTTGCAAAGCTACTTAATGAAGACTCACAAAAATAACAAATTTCCTGTCCTCTTGCGCTTTCAATTTTGCACCAGAAGCAGGACATTTGCATTCAGTTAAGGGGCCTTTGGTTGCAGAGAGTGGTTTCTGGCCAGGGCTCCTCAGCTACCCATCCTCTCTGCACACTGCACATGCATTCCCCATGGCTAACGAGGGAAGGGCCTCTTTTCTCCCTGCTGCGGAAGTGGATGATGTAGTGACTGCATAGCAGCCCAGCCATCATTTTTACTGGAATTATAGGATGAGGAAGTCATGGGATCAAGCAATTAAGGAATCTTCTCTGATAGCATCCCTCCCCAGCTGAAAACCTTTCAGTGGTTTTCCATCAATTTTCAGAATTCCTCCCATGATCCACAGGTCTTTTTTCCCACCTGGTTCTGCCTGCTGCTCAAGCTGGAGCCTGTGCCAGTCTCTCTCTTGACTTCCTCAAGCTCTTCCCCTTTCAAGGTTAGGCACTTGCTGCTCTACCTGCCTGGCAGGATCTGCCTCTGCTTCTTCTTGCTCTTCCTTCAAGTCCCTATTTAACTGTCTCCCTCTTAGGGAAGACTTCTCTGACCACCCATTCTATAGGAGGGACCATGACTATAAAAGAAGATTATAGGAGACTCTACTTTTCCCTCCTAGTGTATGATCGCTATGTGGAAATATACAATTACTTGTGGGACTCTTCACTTAATGTCTGTCTACACCACTAGAATGAAAGCCCCATGAGGGCAGGAGCCTTGACTATTAGTTTAAGGCCACTGTATCCCCTGTGTCCAA
Source organism: Homo sapiens (assembly GCF_000001405.40). Taxonomy (NCBI): domain Eukaryota; kingdom Metazoa; phylum Chordata; class Mammalia; order Primates; family Hominidae; genus Homo; species Homo sapiens. The sequence continues at coordinate 99,945,239 of NC_000006.12, forward strand.
CAATCTCTGGCATATGGTTCATGCTCAATAAATATTTTTTGAACAAATGAATGAATCAATTGCAAATTTTGGCTCCTACTTACTGACTCTTGATGTTTTAGAGAATTTATTTATAAAAGTAGCCACTAATGAAAGTCTAGGTAGCTTTCATTTGAAGGCAAACATTTTTAATATTTTGGATATTTATATATTGTTTTTGTATGGCTATGGAGGTAGAAGCCCACTACTAAATATTCTACACACTTGCAGTTATCACTAATTAGGGAAAGCAAAATGAGTTATTGGAAACACTTGAAATGCATGATCTATTAAACTGGCAATTAAAATGATTTAAATATGTAAACACTAAGGCATACTGATGGCACTGACATTTAGTTATGATCTTACAAAGCAAGCCTCATTTCTCTTTTACAAAATTGCAGATTTTGTTAAACTTTTATGAATTTAGTGGAGTTAGAATTACAAGAAATGTGAGGAAGGAAATGGTTCAGTTTTATAGGCTCTTCACTTGTTTCTTACCACCTGATCTTCCAGAATGAGGGGAAGGAAAGGGCAGAATGTCTTAAATGTGAAATGAAATTTTAGCATACTATGTCCATTGGATTAAAACAAAACAAAACAAAAGACTAGGAGTAAGATACCACGCCTGCATGTGTGCACACATATATACACAGAGAAAAACCTGTCAATATTTAAAAACATACACAGTTTGTCTCTTCCAAGGCAGAAAATGCCCATTCACTTCATTTACAGTAAGAGATTTATAGGAGTATACCTGTTTATTTTTTTTTTTTTCAAAAAAAGCCAATATTCTCCTGCATCCAAGGCACAGTATATAAAGAAGCTCGTATTATCCCCAAGAATGGGATTACTGTTGGTATGGTCTGTACTTTAGGTCACTTTTCTACAGTGAGCCTGGCCTGTTCAAGGCCCTCTTCCTGGTATTGGAACCCTGACAAGCATATGGGGCTTTTCTCATGACACAGTCACATTGGCTGGCATTAGCTGAGCTAACCAGAGCTATGCAGTATATTGATTTAAAAATGTGTTAGTTACAAGTTGAGAAGCACATTCTATATTTTGAAAGTTCTCTTGCAGAAAAACAAAAGGATATTTAAAAATTTACCATTATTATTCGTTCTTGTCAGAGTGAATTATTTATATGAACTTTGCAATTCTTTTTTTGTTCATCTGAAGAATGGCTCATCACTTCCCCACCAAAAAGTCTCACTTAGAAGGGTGAAAGAGGCAGGGTTCAGGACAATTTCTGGATGGACCCAGGGAAATTTAACATACCCTTCAAGACATTCATTCATTCATTCATTCATCAATATTTTTTGAGCACCTGAGTGCCAGGCACTGTTACATACACATTTATGATATATTGGTGGACCAAGACCCTGCCTTTGTGGAATTGACATCTGAGGTACAAGGGAATGAGACAATAAATAACACACACACACACGTGATTTATGTAATATATTTGAATCAAAGGAAAAACAGTAGATCAGAGCAAAGAGGATTAAATGTGTTGGGCTAGGGTTGGGTTGGGAAGAAGGCAGATGGAGATTTTAAGTGGGTTGTCCTAGAAGACAGAGTATCACTGTTGGAAGTACTATGGTTGTCTTTAGGCTCTGTTTCTGTTTGGGGTGAGCTGCTAGGACCTGGTGTGGACGTTCTGGCATCTGGATAATGCAGGGCATATCCTAGCTTGCATGCTTCCTAGACAGGCCAGATAGTGAGGCAGTTACAACTATCTGCCATCTCTAGAGTCAGATGGCTTGGGTCTGAACTGGATTCTACCACTTATTGGTTCCATAAGTACTCACCATCACCATCATCTCCTCAAATAACATTAGCTTACATGGATGGTGAAAAGGGCTATGGCACATTTCCAAGACATAGTGGAATACATTTCTAATAATATAAAATAACAGCATTTGTATTAACCAATCACAATAATGTTTGTAAAAGATGATCTCCCTGGCACTGGGAAATTGCTTCATGGTTGTATAATAACATCTATTTACTCCACTGATTCCTTAGAGCTATGAGGCAATAACAAGTGTATGAGACAGTGGACATATCAGAAATAGCCTTGGACAGAGACTAAGGAAACCTACTTTAATTCTTGGTTCTGCCACTAATTCTCTATGTGCTTCTAGCAAATCTCCTCACCTCTCTGGGCCTCAGCTTCTTTACTGTGAAATTGATGGGGGGAATTCATTCTGGTTTCTAATATTTCCTGGTTTTGTGATTTTTTTTTCTTGCACTGAATTGCAAATAAAACTGAGTCAAAAAGAATGATTAGAAAAAAGGAGATTTTTGTGTTTTATGTTTTCCATTAAAAATATTCCTCTGTGAAAGTTGAACAAAATATTCTTAAGTAATCAGTTCTACAGTGAAACAAAGGAAGAAAACCTCTGCTGTTATAAACCAAAACTGGTGTTGGAATTGGAATGAGCTTGGGGAAGCACAGGCACCTCTGAATTATATTAAGATATTTCAAAGTCTTTCACTTACCTGTCCACACTCATTACAGTCATGATGGCACTACAGGCAAATTGGTTACAAGTATCCAGGGATGTGATGATGGTGCAGAGAGGCCCCCCAAACACCCACTCTCCCCCTCGGGCCCATTGGTGAATAAGAAAAGGCATTCCAACTATGTGGACCAAATCAGCCACAGCCAGGTTGCAGATATAGATGTCAGGGACTGTTTTTTTCCTGGATCTGAAAGAGATAGAGGAAACTGAGGATTGACATTGAATGTATACAGACTATTCGATATATGCTACCTCATACAAATTTTTAATTGACATAATGCATTTTAAATGTTAAAGGAAAACCTATACAGATGCATAGAGGAAATGCCTAGTCTTGTGTGTATTTAAGCATTTTGAACTATTTATTTGATAACTTACTGTGGTGGTTTAAAAATATGTCCACAAAATATTTGATATTCCTTTCAGTAGGTGGAGCCTAATTCCCTCTGAGTGCTGACCTTATTAACTTGCTTCTAACAATGAGAATATGGCAGAAGTGCAGTGTGTGACTTTGAAATTAGGTCACAAAATTTTTGTGGGGCTTTCTCTTTGCTCTCTGTTGGATTGCTTTCCCTGGTGGTAGCCGGCTACCATCTTGTGAGGATACTCAAGCAACACTATGGAGAGGTCCATGTGGAGAGGAATTGGTTAACAACCAGTCAGCACCAGCTTTCCAGGTATGGGAATAAGCTACCTTGGAAGTAGATCCTCCAGCCGCAGCCAAGCCTTCAGATAACTGTAACCCTGGAAGACAGCTTGACAGCAACTTTATGACAGATCATGAGCCAGAACCAACCAGCTAAGCTGCTCCTGAATCCATGACCATTGGACACACGTGAGACAGTAAATGTTTATTGTTTCAAGCCACTATGTTTGGGGTAATTTTTTATGCAGCAACAAGTTATACCAACTTTAAATACACTCAGGTAAAAGATTTAGTCTTTACTCATTCCTAGTATTTAAAACAGCTGAAGACTGAAAATAAATGATTTCTGTTGTCTAATGCATTTTTTTTCTTATTGCAGCTTAGGCCATTGTTAAGATTTCAACAATGACTTAGAAATATTCCAGTAAAATCTAACAAATAGCAAAGACTATTAATAAAGACCCTGAGATCCAGACAGTGAGAGTCATCTGAAAAGAGGGAGCTGGTAGATGGCACTGAGAATGATCTCATGTCTCCTGTGGGGAGCCGGGGGTGGGAGAAGTGAATTCAATGCTATCTAGAAGTGGCCTTCTCATCAGCAGGTGAAATACATTTCTGAGAGCAGAAATTTAAAATTTAGTTGGTTCCTACTTCAAGGAGCTGGCACATTCAATAATAAGCAGGTATCATCTTTATCTGGGAGATTCTGTTCATTAATTCAAAAAACATTTTATTGAGCACCAATTACATGGCAGGCATAATGTTGTGCTCTAAGGCTGTAAAGCTGAACTATGTATAAACCCTGTCATCAAGGAGCTTATAGTCTAGACATGCATAAATAAATGATCACATCACAATTTGATGAGAGAAAACTAGAGACAAGTACAAGGACAAGAAGCACAAAGAAGGGGCCCCCTCCTCTTTCCTGGGAACTGTCAAGACAGGTTTATTGGCAGATGTGGACAAATAAGAATTTAAAGAGCATGTTAAGAACCAGTCCTAAGATTATGCCACAATTGCTAGTTTTTTCCTATTTCAGGGCTAGTGCTCTGCTGTTTGGAAGCTAGTGTGTGTCTTTATTATTCATTGGTTACAACTTCTATAGCCTGTGAACTTCATTTCTCAGCTGTCAGATTCTCATGTGAAACATTAGACTGGGCGAGGCCATCTCTTCTCCAGGCCTTGGCAGCATCCACTGTGTGGGGAAGTTACTGCCATGGAGTCCTTATTCAGCAACCATACTGTACGCATTGTTGCTGCCACTAAAAAAACAGGTTGGTTCCTTTCCCTCAGGAGCTTGGTGCCTCACACCAGAATGACCAAGAGGGAGAGGAGACATGAAGAAAAGATCATGTCAAACAAAAGACCAGCCAGCTGACTGTCCTTGGTCTCTCATCCCCTGTCCTCTTCAGGTCATTAGACTGGGAAATGGAGAGGGGACAGGGAAGAGGGACAGATATTAGCAGTCAGATAGAAAGAGCTCCAAACTAAAAAAAAAAAAAATCATAAATCTTAGTCTATAAATAGATGTTATTTTCATGTGAATTGGGATATAAACCATAAGCAGTTGCTTAGGTCTCAATTGCAGCAATTAGATCCATGGCCCTTGCTTTTCTCTAGAGGGGTACCCATCATTTACTGATAATGAATTATGGTAATTCTATTGTGGGAACAGTGCAGGCCATTAACTGGCAATCAAAAAGAATTAAATAAAAGTGTGTCTAGATGATATTCTGTATAGTACAAAGAGAGTTCTGAAGCAACTGATAAATTTATCTGGACATAAGTTACTAGGGCAATATGAATAACACATTATATTTATTATTGTCTTCTTTACTGAAAGCAACAGCATCAAAATTAAAAACAATTAAATAGAAATTGTAAAATTTCTAACTATATAAATTATATCCCTTTTTAGGTCTAATTTATCTTTAGATTTCCTGTTGTCAGACTTCATGGAATTTATATTTCTTACGATGTAAACATTTAATATAAAATACAAAGACTTGTGATAATTTTGGCTAACATGTGCTCCATATGGTTAACGTGGTCATATCTAATACTCATTAATTTGAGGAATGATAAAATAAATTATGGTATTTCCACACTACCACACTCAATAGGATGTACCTGTAGTCATAGTTTGAAAGAATATTTAATCAGATGAGAAAATACTAATACTATTAAGTAAAAAGAAAAAAGAAAGAATACTCATAATGTGTATAGCATGACTCTAAATTTATTTAAACATTTGTTAAAAAATTTGCAGGAACAATATGTCAAGTGATCACAGTGATCATCTATTTGGTAGTAGTATGACTGATTTTTTACTTTATTGTTTGCATTTTCTCACAATTTTTCAAAATTTCTATTAAAATCATGCTTACCTTTTGCCATCAGAAATAACAACATATGATATGAATTAGTAAAACTAACAAAACATAACACTACGCATGTAGGCTGCTGTGCTTGTCATTCGCCAGCCTGTCCTCAGGCCCCTTTGCCAATTGGCTTCTGATTAGGTTTAGCCAGTCAGAAGCACCAGTGGGAACTGGAGAGTAAGGAGGAGAGGAGAAGCCAGAATGTAGCCTTCACTCCATGGTCCAAGATACCAGTGGGGCTCCAGCTCCCACCAGGCAGCCCAGACTCCTGAGGACTGAAAAACCTCTTTCTCCCTTTTCCCTCCAGCTTGGGGCAGGGAGAGGAAAGTGGTGTTGGGGTGAGGGATGGGATAGGGTGTAGAAGTGGCTTCCTGCTCTTGTTAATCTCTGGGTTGCCTCACCATCCCATCTGGCATTTAACTCTAGTTGAATTAAATTGCTATCATGAGCCTATGCCAATGGATTAGTAGTCATTTCCTGAAGCACTGTGCTGAGAAGAATTCTGAGTCCTCACACAGGACAGACCTATACAGGACAGATGCTATACAGGACAGACCTGCGTGATTAGAGATGACTGCTAAGGGTGAGAGAGTTTATAGTAGAGTCCTATATTTGCCAACCCTTCCCTAGATACATAGAGTGACAGAGTGGAAAGATAACCTAACTGGGAATTTTATTTTCATTTCTATGCCCTCGCTCATTGTGTCCTTAGGCAAGCGATTCAACTTCCTTAGATTCCCAAGCCAGCTTCTCATATTGGCCAACTGGACCACAGCTCATCTGAACAGATGTTGTTGCATGGTACTCTGGCATCGAAAACATATCTGTGCAGCCAAGGGTATGGGTCAATTCCAACAAGAGTCTGTGTATGGCTGACACTTGGAATGGTAGAGGGCTGGGTCAGAGGGAGCTGTTAGTTATTATTTAATCTGGGTGGGGAAAAAAGAGACCTGTGTTCTAAAACGTTTTCCATCCCTGTCAGCAGCTGGAATTCTACCATTAGACAGTATTCCTCTAGGTTAACACATTGTCCATCTCGTAACCTCTGTTTCACGAATTCATGACTTAGTGTGAATTAGTTGACCTGACAGGGAGATGAGGGCAGGAAGTGACAAAATGGGAACTCTATTTTTGGAGGATAGGGCACCTTTTATAGAGACTCTGCCCAGTTGAAGGGAGTCTGTCAGTAAACAGAAGAAAGATGTGTTCAGAAGGTAGATGTGGGGGTCTGACAAAACAAAGTTGTCCGTTTATTGAAGTATAGGTGATTCCCAGGGCCTGCTGTGCCTGTGGAGACTAGTTGAGTAATGGGGTTGAGTTCATCAATCTGTCTCCTGGGAATGCAAGAGGAAAATATTATAATTGGCTCAATTTTCTGCCTACATTTTCTAAACTGGCTTCCTTTCACCTGCTGTAAATTTAATGTACAACAGACTAGTGATGATCAGGCCTCATTATTTTATAGTCACCCTCCTAATGCACAAGTTGTTTCTTGCTTTTAAAAAAAGGCACATAGAACATCTTATTCTTGAAGCTCCATCTTCCTTAAACATATTTATTTTATATACGTTTCTAGTCTTCATTTGGCAAAGTCAGAAATTAGTTCATTGCTTGCTTTCCAGCATCATTAATGATTTTATTGACTTTTAGTTCTATTGATGAACAATGGTTTTGATACAATTACTACTGTAAAAGGAAAAGTCATTAAATCTTGTTTAAATGTTATTTATTTCTCCTTATCATTACTGTAGTCTTAATATTTTATTTAATTCACCTGTCTGTTCATAAAGTAACAAATAAAAGATCATGGCAAAGCATGATGAAAACATTAATACAAACTGCCTTAAAATATTTAGAGAGCAATTTGCAAAAAAGTTGATAAATTCCTAGCCAAATAAATAAATAAATGTAAGTTGCTTTCAAATCACTTTTGAAAGATTAATACATTTTTGGAGAGCCATGTGCAAGGAAAAGTGTTAAAATCTTAGCAAAAAAATTAAAACTGTTGTTTTAATTAAAAGTTGTTCCTGATACTTTTTGAAAGATTACAATATTTATTTTAAAAGCTCCATTAGCATTTCTTTATCTAATGTATATTCTCACATTATGTATAAAATGATAATATGAAGAAATGATAGATTTTTCTCAATATTGCAAACCAATTGGTCCGTACAATGGCTCAGGTGTTTTTCTCCTCAGTTAAATGACGGTTGACTTTATGTTGAAAATCTGTTTCCATAAGTTACAGCTCAGAATTGACTTTTAGAAGAGTTCACATTGCCCATGTCTTCCTTTTTTACAACTTTGTCTCTGTATAAATAGATGGGATTAAGCTGTTATCTATTGGTGTAAATTGAGGGATCCAAGAAATTTCTCTGGCTCCAGACATCTCTTCAACAGCTTGTCACAAGAGCTGGAATCCCACACTGAAGAGGTTTTGCATATAAAAGTTGCCTGTGAAAATGCAAACATTTCGGAAGGGCTAACACCTAATAAGGACCTGGTTTTTCAATGGTGGTACCAAGGCTTTTGAGTGTAGGACACACCATATGTATCTGTAGAAGAGCAGGGCAGAAATACTGGAGGCCATGAGGGAGAGATGGAAGGAGAACTGGGCAGGTCCAACAGGCAAATGGGAGTGAGCTAGAAACATTCTCAAGTCTGTGGCTATTAACTCTCTACTCAGCACTATTGCCTCTTTGAAGCTCCCTTAGAATATTGATTACTTCCATTTTCTTTCCTGGAACTTATCTGAGCCATCTTTTTTCCCCCACTTGATTGTTTTTAAAGTCTTTCTTGTATTATTTTTCAAATTATTCCATGAGTTTAAATCTCATCTTCCCCACTAGAATATGAACTTTTTAGATAGACGCTGCTTTTTTTTTTGGTATTTTCATAAACCCTAGGGCAATGCAGGGCATGCAATAGGTATTTACTAATAGATATTGAATTGAATTTCTTCTAGCACTTAAAGAAAAATTTAAAATGCTTGATATTCACAAATAGCTTTACAGGACACAATAAGGAATGCTTGAATTTATTAAGAGTAGAATCCCTATGTACTAAATAAATCTTCAGCTGTGACTGGTGTAAAAAATACCATTGATCCTCTACTTCTAACTGCAGAGATAGCGAAACTGAAGGTTTGAGAGAGGGCTGGCTGATGAGACGCCACCTGGGGAAGTGACAAGTTACGAGCCTTCTCGGGGTGACCTTCTCACATGACCATCCTGAGGGCTCCTCTTGCTCTCAGTTAAGCCTGTGAGGATTCTTTTATCTTTACAGCAAATCCAACAACTGTCTCTATAATTTTGATGACCTCTTTGTTTTCATTAGTTGTGGAGGAAATAGCCTTGGATTCGGAATAAATCTGAGTTCGATTGCCAGGATCGCTACTTACTAGCTCTGATGCTGGACCAGTTATTTACTCATCTGAACCTCTTTTCTTAAATGGGTGTAATAATAGTACTGCTGTGCTTTTTAAGTGTAATATGCTCCACAAAAGTTTGTTGCAGTTATGTGTTAATATGATGCTGAAAACACCTATTAGGTAGTGCAGGTTGGGCATCCCTAACTTGAAAATCCAAAATCTGAAATGCTCCAAAATCTGAAACTTTTTGAGGAATAACATGACCCTACAAGTGGAACGGTCCACACCTGACCTCATGTGATGGGTTGCAGTCAAAATGCTGCTGTATAACACACAGCGTCTCCAAGGGAAAAATGACCCTCCCAGCCCCCTTCAGCTGCTGTCATTTCACAGCTGGTGCAGGTGTTCTGGTGATGTTACTGGGCTGCTTAGTTCCCCTGAACACATTATTTTTCACTGTATTAGTGGTGTTAATGGTCATATTTTTTACTGCTAAGTATTGTTGTGTGAATAAGTTTAAGAAAGTGATTGTTTATTGGTTGGATGTCAATATAGAGTCAGGAATGATGGTGATGCCAAACAACCACAGATGTCCACATGGGTGGCTGAGAGAGTGACGCCTTTACTTTCTGATGGTTTGATTTACAAAAACTTTGTCTCATGCATAAAATTATTCAAAATATTACATAAAATTACTTTCAGGCTATGAGTATAAGGTATAAGTGAGACATAATGAATTTTGTATTTAGACTTGGTCCCTTCTGCAGGATATCTCATTATGCATATACAAACAGCACAAAATAAAAAGAAATCTGAAATCTGAACCACTTCTGGTCGCAAGCATTTTGGATAAGGGATACTAAACCTGCAGTCTAGAATATCTTTTATAACATATGAATATGGAAGAACATTTTGAAAATGGCAATTTTAAGTATAATCAGAAACTAGGATGAAAAATTTAACATCCTATAGTTATTAAAACTAGCAAAACTTACATGTGAAAATAATCAGGATAGTAAATATACCAAGTAGCTATAGGGCTAGTGTGCACTAATTCTGAATCCATTTTGTCAAGTCCCTAGAAAACAAATAATCAGTTCTTATTCTCCAAGTAAAGTTCTTATTCTGTCTCTCTACTTGAGAGGAGGAAATTACCTGAATTAGGTGGGAGATGTGGTGCCCATGCAGGAGGTACTCGGGGGCAGATGTCTCTCAGTTTGGTTTATATAGGCTGGTCTACACCAAAGGGAACAGCCCACTACCTATGACTTCCTGCATCTTCTGGTGATAACATAAAGTCTCTCTTTTGCCCAAGTGAGTAAAAGAATCTCTTTCACCTGCCTAAACAGGTCAGCTTTTTAGGATAATTCTTATTGCTGGAAAATGAAATGTTGCATTGCAGTTTTAAATCTTACCCGGGCCCTACCCTTAGAGATTCTGAGTTAATGGGTCTGGGGTGAAACTGCATATCAGGAGTTTTTAAAGCTCCCCAGATGATTCTAATATGCAGCTAAGACTGAGAGTGAGAGTCATTTCCCTAAAAACTCACTGACCCAGCAGTAAGCATTGGCCTAGGTCTTAGCATGTTGAGATTTGCAACTGAGATGTTACCTAATGCATGACGAAAATATCTGTAGAATCTTCATTAATTATCTTAAGCAAATATTTCCAAAATTGCATTTCATTAAGCAAAATGCTACAGGGGAAAGGACTCATTTAGGGAGCTTTGACTGTAGTTTCCTAAAGTATGGAAGGAAAAAAAAAAAAAAGGAGCCATTCCTTACCTTATTATAGTGAATACAATGAGGATGTTGCCAACCAGCCCTGTTGAACAGATAATCCCAATCATGGAAGGGAGGATGACTGTATCTACCACACTGGCAGTTTGATAAGCAAACTCTTTATTCCAGGATTTGTTTAAAAGTTCGGCAGAGGTGTTCCAACAAGATGCATGAAATGGATTCATTGTTCGTGGACTTTCCAGGGATTAAAGCTGTGAAGTAATAGGAAGTGATTTATTTAGTGAACATTCCCTCAATATAACTTCCTTTACCTAATTCAAATAATATTTTTTGGAACCTCTTTTTTAAAACCAAGATTCCATGGAACACAGGATCCCAGGGTGAGTATGATTGGTCCCTGTTCATAGTAATCTCACAGATTACCACAAGAGATAGGTAAACAGCAAGTTACAGAACAACTTGAGAAGCATCATGATAATCTTTGTATCTTACCACATCTTACTGTACTATATGCTTTGAGCATAGGTGATATTTAGCTAGTATATACTGGTCCTGGTTGTTTACAGATCACGTCTATTCTTATTGGCCTGCAGATCTGTTCATATTGGCTAGTATTCTTGTAACACTTATGTTGTTAAATATATCCTCTCTGTCTGCTATAAAATGCATGGGGTCTACTGAACTCGGATTGTTTAGAAATGGAATGGGTAAGACCTCCTGATGTGATTATTGGACTATGTTGAAGCATGAGGGAGAGTTAGCTCAGCAAATTAGAGTTGTGGGAAGGGAAAAGCGTTGTAGCCAGCGGAGGCACCATGTGCAAAGAAGTATTCAAGGCCAAATGCTCACTGCCAAAAAATAAACAAGTAAATAAAGCAAAATAGAACTAGAAAATTATTTGCTTGATCAAACTTTTGATAAAAGACATTTTAAAAATATCATCTAAGTCTGGTATTTGGAAATGATAAATTGGATTACTCAGATTAATCTTCCCACTGAAAATAAAATATGCTGGACAAAATGTGTGTGTGTGTGTGTGTGTATTTATATTTATGTGTGTCTGCGTGTGTGTATACAGCAACTTAAAAATACTCAAGGTCTGAAAAATCAGTGGGCATTCCCTGGCTAGGTTTTGAATGAGATCTTGAAAAGTAAGTGGAATACTGAAGCACCAATGCTATCTTGATTTAGAAGGCACTTATGGATGACATAACATTTGAAGTCTGGTTCCATGTCTGGATGAAGTCCAGAGAAAAATCAGGGTCCAGGGCCTACTGAGGCTGGGGAATCTTACAGGAGATACCCTCTTCTGAGCTGGAGCCTCAGGGGCTTCATAATTAAGTGTATTTTATCTAGTCAGATTAAGAAAGTTCCCTCTATTCCCAGTTCAGCAAGCATTTTTTATCATCAGTAGATTTTTAGTTTAATATTAAAGATGCTTTTTCCATCAATTGAGAGAGAGATGTGATTTTAAAAAAATGTTCTTCATTTTCATTTGGTTCCTTTTCATGTCTGTCATGTTACTTTGATAATTGAATCTCCCCTGAAGAGAATTTTAATCATGAAATGCTGAACATTTCCCTTTCAAAACATGAAAGAATGTCCACTATCACCACTTTTCTTCAATATTGGACTTTTCTAGTACAATGGGGGAAGAAAAAAATAGGATGTATGAGACTTGGAGAGTAAGAAAGTCTCAGAGTTGTTATTACGTAACTCTAAGAGAATTTAGTAAGTTTGCTGGATATAAAAACAAGCAAAAATTTAATTATATTTCCATATATTTTCTACAAACCATTAGAAAAAGAAAGTTTAAAAGAGTTAACATTTGTTAAAAATATATATACCTAATGCTAAACTCAGCAAAAATTTGTAAGAACTCTACTGGAAAAATTATAACATTTAACTGATGTTAAAGAAAATTTGTAAATGGAGAAAAATACCAAGTTAATGAATTTGAAGACTCATTAATCTATAGATGTCAATTTTCCCCAGACTGACTTATAGATTCAATGCAATTCCAATAAAATTCCAAGTTTTATTCTGTGAAAGATGATAACATACTACTTCTGAAATTTAAACATAAAAGGCTAAGAATACTAAATAAACTCTTGAAAAAAGAGAATCAGATAGAAGGACTTAATTTATTTGATACTAAGACAAATTATAAAGATACAGTAATCTACACAGTGTGATATTTGAATAGGGATAGACAAATAGGTCAAGGAAACATTAAAGAGAGCCCCCAAACAGACCCATACATATATATTACACTTGATATATGAAAAGATGTCACTTTAGAGAAGTGAGGAAAGAATGGACTCTTCCATAAATGGTGCTGGGACAATTGCCTGTCTAAATGGAAAAACCAATCTCACCTATATAAATATATATTATACATACACATATACATGAATTCATATATGCTTACATACATTTATATGCACATTGATTTGAAATCTATACGTACATAAAAATAAACTCCATGTGACTTAAAAACAAATGTAAAAGGCTTTTAGAAGTGAATATAGAGTATCTTTAGGTCCTTGGAGTAAAAAATTCCATAAACAAGACACAGATGTTTAATAAAAACCAGAAAAATTTGATTACAATGAAAAAAAAAATCTGTTCATTAAAAGACACCATCAAGATGGTAAAACAGGAAATCTCAGACCCTCTTTCTCCCATGGCACCACTGATTCAACAGCCATACATGGAACAATTCCCTTTGTGAGAAATCCAGAAACCAGTTAAGAAACTTGCATCCAAGGCAAATGGGAAGCCAGCTACATCAAAGCCAATAGAAGAACCTGTGGCACCCTCTTGCCATAGTCTCTCTGGCACAGTGCCATATGATCGGGGGAAACTTCCAGCTTCTGGCTTCTCCCTGGGGAGAGAGAGAAAACTGGAGCACATGTCCATTGTTCTAACTTTCAAGGGGCTTCCTTGGGGACAGGTTTTTGTCTCATCTATCTCAGTGTACTGCCAGGGAATGGCATATTCTGGATACCTGGGGGCTCCTTAGAACAAAAGAGCTGGGCAGTGTGCTGCTGCTCCAGAGGACCTGTGGTATAGCTGACAGAGGTCAATGCTGCTTGGCAGTATCTTCCTTAGGAGGAGTGAAGATTGGAGCATATATGCAGTGTTCTGGCTTTTGGGGGGTTTCCAGAGGGACTGGTTTCTCTATAGCTCAAACTGGGGCACTGATGAGACCTCATGTACTCTGGATGCCTGGAAGGCCACTGGGAACAAAAAGAGTCAGATGGCATGCTGCTATTTTGGAGAACCTGTGGTACAAAAGATAGATACCAATGGAAAAAGAAATTATGCGTTTCAGGAAAAAAGAAATTGGTAAATCTCTCTAAGTAGGAACCTAGACACACATGTCCAGAGGAGTCATGTCCACAGAAAATGTTTGAGATGTCCCCTGAATCTGTAGCTATGCTGCTTGGTGAAGATGTTTCCCTGTCTGGAGCCAGTCTACAAAGACTGGGAGAGGTAGCTATATTGTTAAAATGTGTAGATACCAATGCAAAGTTACAAGGAAAACAAAGAAGCAGAGAAAAATTGCCCAATCAAATGAGCCAAGTAAATTTTCAGAAATTGATACTAAAGAAACAGTTAGATACTAATTACCTGACAAATAATTCAAAATAACCACCATAAAGGTGATTGATAAACTCATTAAAACAATACAGGAACAAAATGAGAGTTTCAGCAAAGGGATAGAAAATATAAAAAAGAACCAAACAGATTTTGGAGCTGAGAAATGCAACAATTGAAATGAAAAATTCACTATAAAGTTTCAACAGCAGACTTGATCAAGCAAGAGAGAGAATCAGAAAATTTGAAGACAACTCATTTGAAATATAAACTAGGCAGAGGAGTAAAAAGAAACAATAATAATAATGATAATAATAATAATAATAATAGGTAAAAAAAGCCTTAAAGACTATTGGACACCACTGAAAGGATCCATATACATGTTATGGGCATCTCAGAAAAAGAAGAGAAAGAAAGGGACAGAAAGCTTATTTAAAGAAATAATGGCTGAAATCTTCCTAAATCTGGGAAGGGAAATGAACATCCAGATTCAAGAAGACCAGCCTACCTCAAATAGGCTACATCAAAAGAAGTCCACAAAGACAACAGAAAATTTTGAAAGCAGCAAGAGAAAAATGATTCAAGGGACTTCCAATACATCTGTTAGTGGATTTCTTAGCAGAAACCTTGCAAGCCAGGAGAGAGTGGGATGATATAGTCAATGTGCTGAAAGAAAAAAACTGTCAACCAAGAATACTATGTCCAGCAAAAATATTCTTTGAAAATTAAAGAGAGATAAAGACTTTATCAGATAACAAAAGCTCTTCAAGGAGAACTACAAACCACTGCTCAACGAAATAAAAGAGGACACAAACAAATGGAAGAACATTCCATGCTCATTGATAGGAAGAATCAATATGGTGAAAATGGCCATACTGCCCAAGGTAATTTATAGATTCAATGCCATCCCCATCAAGCTACCAATGACTTTCTTCACAGAATTGGAAAAAACTACTTCAAAGTTCATATGGAACCAAAAAAGAGCCCCCATAGCCAAGACAATCCTAGGCAAAAGGAACAAAGCCAGAGGCATCATGCTACCTGACTTCAAACTATACTACAAGGCTACAGTAACCAAAACAGCATGGTACTGGTACCAAAACAGATCTAGACAAATGGAACGGAACAGAGGCCTCAGAAATAATGCCACACATCTACAACCATCTGATCTATGACAAATCTGACAAAAACAAGCAAGGGGGAAAGGATTTCCCATTTAATAAATGGTGTTGGGAAAACTGGCTAGCCATATGCAGAAAACTGAAACTGGACCCCTTCGTTACACCTTATACAAAAATTAACTCAAGATGGATTAAAGACAGAAACATAAGACCTAAAACCATAAAAACCCTAGAAGAAAACCTAGGCGATACCATTCAGGACATAGACATGGGCAAAGACTTCATGACTAAAATGCCAAAAGCAATGGCAACAAAAGCCAAGATTGACAAATGGGATTTAATTAAACTAAAGAGCTTCTGCACAGCAAAAGAAACTGTCATGAGAGTGAACAGGTAACCTATAGAATGGAAGAAAAATTTTGCAATCTACCCATCTGCCAAAAGGCTAATATCCAGAATCCACTTAAACAAATTTACAAGAAAAAAACAACAACCCCATCAAAAAGTGGGCAAAGGATATGAACAGACACTTCTCAAAAGAAGAAAAAAAAAGCGTTTTAGGAACACTTTTTTTTTTAGAATGTTTTAGGAATGCTCTTACACTGTTGGTGGGAGTGTAAATTGGTTCAACCATTGTGGAAGACAGTGTGGCGATTCCTTAAGGATCTAGAACTAGAAATACCATTTGACCCAGCGATCCCATTACTGGTTATACACCCAAAGGATTATAAATCATTCTACTATAAAGACACATGCACATGTATGTTTACTGAGGCACTGTTCACGGTAGCAAAGACTTGGAACCAACCCAAATGTCCATCAAGGATAGACTGGATTAAGAAATGTGGCACATATACACCATGGAATACTATGCAGTTATAAAAAAGGATAAGTTCATGTCCTTTGCGGGGACATGGATGAAGCTGGAAACCATTATTCTCAGCAAACTATCACAAGGATAGAAAACCAAACACTGCATGTTCTCACTGATAGGTGAGAGTTGAACAACGAGAACACATAGACACAGGGTGGGGGACATCACACACCAGGGCCTGTTGCGGGATGGGAGGCTGGGAGAGGGATAGCATTAGGATAAATACCTAATGTAAATGTCAAGTTGATGGGTGCAGCAAACCAACATGGCACATGTATACCTATGTAACAAACCTGCACATTGTGCACATGTACCCTAGGACTTAATGTATAATAATAATAAAAAAGAATATGAAAATCATGTCAAGTATCTTTTCCAACCACAATGGAATGAAATCTATGACAGCCAAACTAGCACGAATTTATTTTTTCCTTCTTCACAATTTCACAGATAGATTTTTTCTCATGGTATATCACATCAAACTCAGCATATGATTTTTAAAATTTCTTTATTAAGTAAAAATCTTTTTACCTTTTCACTTAAAGCACTTTATAGCTTTGCTTTGGCATATCCAAATTGCCAGCATTACTAGTCTTGTGCTTTGGGTCTGTTATTAAGTAAAATAAGGGTTACTTGAACACAAGCACTGCTACACTGTGACAGTCAGTCTGATAACTGAGACAGCTACTAAGTGACTAGCAGGCAGGTAGCATATGCAGCGAGGATATGGTAGATAAATGGACTAATCATGTCTTCAGAGAAATGAAGTTAGATAGCATGAGATTTCACCATGTTCCAGTAATGGTGCACAATTTAAAACTTATGAATTGTTTATTTTGGAAATTTCTATTTACTAGTTTCTAACTGTGGTTGTCCACAGGTAACTAAAATCTTGAAAAGTGAAACCACAGATAAGGAAGGACTAGCGTATGGTCAACTGATCTTCAACAAGGGTGCCAAAGTATACAATTGAGGAGAGGATAGACTTTTCAACAAATGATGTCGAAAAATCTGGATATCTATATGCAAAGGAATGAAATTGGACCCTTATCTTGCACTACACACAAAAATTAACTCAAAATAGGTTAAAGACTTAAATGTATGACCAGAAATGTAAAACTCCTCGAAGAAAACATAGGGGAAATCTTCATGATATTGGTTTTGACAATGATTTCTTGGATATGATATCAAAAACACAGGTAACAAAAGCAAAAATAGACAATGAGTCTACACTGAACTAAAAAGCTTCTGAACAGCAAAGGAAACAACAGAGTCTAAATACATCCTACAGACTGGGAGAAAAATTTGCAAACCACAATTCTGATAAATGGTTAATACCCAAATTATAGAAGGAACTCCTATAACTTAATATTGATAGCAAATAAGCAAATAACTCGATTTAAAAAATGGGCAAGTAACCTGAACAGACATTTATCCAAAGACAACATAGAAATGGCCAACAGATATATGAAAAGATGCTCAATGTCACTAATCAGGGAAATGCAAATCAAAACCACAGTGAGATATCACCTCATCCCTGTTAGTATGGCCATTACTAGCAAACAATAAAAACATACAAATGACAATTAAAAAAAAGTGGCAAAACAAAAAACCCAGAAAACAAGTATTGAGGATGTGGAAAAGTTGGAACTCTTGTGTACTTTTGGTAGGAATGTAAAATAGTGTAGCCACTATGGAAAACAGTGTGGAGGTTCCTCAAGCCAACAGGTAGAAACCATCTTAATGAACACTGATAGATGAATGTGTAAAAAAAGTTTACACATACAATGGAATATTATTCTGCCATAAAATTAAGGGAATTCTGTCATATGCCACAATATGAATGAAACTTGAGGGCATGATACTAAGTGAAATAAGTCAGTCACAGAAGGAAAGATACTATATGATTTCATTTGCATGAAGTACCTAAATTAATCAAACTTATTGAAGCCAAAAGTAGAATGGTGATTGCCAGGGGCTGGAGGATGAGGAAACGGAGAATTGTTGAATGAATATAAAGTTTCAGTCATGCAAGGTGAAAACAGTTTAGGTATTTGCTGTAAAATGTTGTGTTTATAGTTCATAATACTGTACTGTTCATTTATCAATTTGTTTGGGGGTGGATATCATGTTATATGTTTTCTTTTTAATCATAATAAGAAATGCATGTAGAAGACAAAAATGAATGTTTGAGAAATGATGCAGAGTTTACTGGTTCATGTTCTAGGTATAATATTCCATTCAATGTCCTATTGGTAAACTATGTTTGCAAAAAATAAAAAATAACATGGGAATTAAAAATAATGACACAAGAAAGCCGAAAGTCAAGTCTCAGAGTGAAGATATTTCTAAGACATATAAACAACAAAAGGCTCTTGTTCAAAATATATAAACTATCTATACAAACCTATAAAAAAAGATAGAGAAGCCTACAGAAAAATGGCAAGTGACTTCAATAGGCATTTACAAAACAGGCATCCAGCTGGTGAATAAACATATTTAAAAGGCATTTAATTTCACTGAAGATAAGGAAAAGGCTAATTAAAAGCACAATTGGATACCTTTGCTTAACTATCAGATTGGTGAAAAGTTTCATGTCTAACAGTTCTAAGTGTTGGAGCCACAGAAACTCCCACCACTGGTGGCAGCATAAATGGATATATCACTCTGGAAAACAAGGAGGCATTATTAAAGTTGAATAGATACATATTGCTGTATGACCCTGAATCTTCCCCTTAGGTAGGATATACCTAAAGATACACATGTTTATATGTACCAGGATATGTGCTCCAGAATGTTCACAGAAATATTCATTTAAAATGCCTTAAACTGAATGTATTAGTCTGTTATCACAATGCTATGAAGAAATGCCCAGGACTGGGTAATTTATAAAGGAAAGAGGTTTAGTTGACTCACAATTCTGCATTGCTGGGGAAGCCTCAGGAAACTTACAATCATGGCAGAAGGCAAAGGAGAAGCAGGCACCTTCTTCACAGGGTGGCAGGATGGAGTGAGCACAAGCAGGAGAAATGCCACATGCTAATAAAACCATCAGACCTCATGAGACTCACTCAGTGTCATGAGAACAGCATGGGGGAAACTGCCCCCATGATCCAATTACTTCCACCCTTGTTCTGGCCCTTGACACATGGGGATTATGGAGATTACAATTCAAGATGAGATTTTGGGTGGGATACAGCCAAACCATATAACTGAAATTAACCAAATGTCCATTTACAATGGAATGGATAAATAGATTGTGATATATTCACACAATGAAATACTATATAGCACTGGATGGGAACAGACTCTAGGTACACACGATAACATGGATGGATCTAAAATCATAAGGAAGGGCAAAAAGCAGAAATTCATATGTATGATTCCATTTTTATAGAATTAAAAAACAAGGCAAAACGAATCTATATTACTAGGGCTACATATAATGATGGTAAAAATATAAAGAAAAGCAAAGAAGTGATAACTGCAAATGTCAGATTGTTGGCCACCTCTGAAGAGAGTAAGTTGTGACTCGTTAAGTGATTCAGAAGGACCCTGATGAGCCAACAATGTTCTGGCTTTCTTGTCCTTGGTAGCCAGTGTTTTACGTATGGTTCTGCAGGTTATAATAACAGTAAAAGTATTGTTAAAAAACCAGTCTAACATCTGACCATATGGTTTCAAGGCAATAATCTAACTCTCTGTTCTCTTCTTTATTAATGCTTATCTTAGTCTTAATTTTCTGCCACTGTTCTCTTTTACTTTCCAATTTATTTCAAATTTTAAAAATCAGCTAATATGATGTTAACTTTGATTGTGGTTCTGTTATATGAAAATTTAATGCCAAAGTGTTTACAAAAATGTAGCAAAAGAGCTATTTTCAGGCAACACAGATAAATATGACTGACTGGCTGAACCCATTGAGGAAATTCGTATAGAGAAACATATTCAGTTAGTTACCTCATGTTGTTTTAAAAATCACTGATGTGGCTCTTTTAAAAAGTCAAAATGATTAATTTATTTTAATTTTCATTTCATTGTTTAGACAATGAAATACTAGTGTTTAAGAGAGATTTAGGATACACGAAAATCTAGTGTTTTGTAATTACAAAATGTAAAATAACCAGAGAAAGTTAACTTTTATGACACTTGTTTTTTAAGCACTTCTATAAGTTTAAAAAAGAAAATATGGATCATATATGCAAATGAATAGGTTTGGGAGGCATATGCATTTTTTAAAATGATGATTTCAGTTTAAGCCATAAGCAAACTTTTTCCAATGAATTATGTATAGCAATTTTTATGATCTCACAAATCATTTATGAATTTCAATATCTCTTCTCCAAATATAATCTACAGGAAGATAGCTCGCCACATGTGTTTCCAAGACTAATGGCTTCACATCATAAGATTTGGGAGTATAATCAATTTGGCTACGTATTAATTTCTTTTAATGCTTAATCAAAAAGAATTGCAGTCAGAAGGCTTACTTGTTATTGACAACTCCCAGGCTAATGAAATCTCAGCCCAAAGCTTTGTAGCCCCACTCTTCCACCTCTCTATACAACTTGCTTTATTTATTTTCCAGCTCTCAAGTCCTTTGAGGAAGATGGGAGCTTCAAAGAGTAGAAAAGAAAGAAATATGTTAAATAATACTGTGTGTGGAAAGGACTTTGAAAGTAAACTGTAACCTTTTTATCCTTAAATACCTGAAAAAGTAAGAGCTCTTTTATCTTAGCTGTCACTGTTTTTCTTCAGTGTCAATTAAAACTTCATGTTTACTATCTCCTGTAAATGTTGGAATTTGAAGTAAAGGCAAATTGGTGTATCAATGGAAATTCATCATAAATATAATTTTGTGAATCCTTGTCATATTTGTAAGAAATTTGTTGCTTTATTGACTTAATATAATTTCAAATTGGGAAACTCACCAAATCAAATAATAAATCCATGTCAAGAAAAATAATCTACTTGTCTTTCTTCTTGTTTTGTGAACTGTGGCAGGTAGCAGCCTGCCTTCCCTCCAGGTGTATGGCTGCTAAACTTGAAGAGTGAATGCCCAACAATATTTGGTACTTCACCGGTTCAGCAAGTACCATATTCTTATCTTTGTGTTTTTAATAGACTGTTTCATTAGTTAAATATACAGAAACAAAATATTAATTCACTGATGGTTGTTAAATATTAGCTGTTGAAAAAGTTTAAGCATTAGTATTTAAATTATGTTCATAATTTTAATTATTGTTAATATTTAATCAAAGGGTTATTTTAAAGAATCTTTTGTATAAAGAATCTCTCAATTCTTCAGTATGATTTCATTATATCTAGGGGCCATTTTCATCCAGGAAAACTCCCCCTAATTTTATAATGAAAGCCAATGCTAAATAAGATTAACTGCATAAAAACTCCTTTGCAAAAGCCCCCTTGCACTGTCTCTCCATCTGTGCTCATGTGGTACCTTTGGGTTGAACCCATCCATCCTGAATATTAAAGAAAAAAGTACTTTTTTTTGATACTTTTCAAAGTATAAACTTTTTTCTCATTCCTTAAATTGCAAGTTTTGACACTTACTTGAAATATGACCCCAGAAAACAGGTCTTAAACAGTTAAGTCTTTTGGTAGCAAGATTGTTTTTCTTAAAAAAAAAAACAGAAATTTATGCTTGTGAGGTTGGTGTTGAAAGAAGACTGACAGTGTCAGTTTAATGTATTCTGATTCACATCATTCATCTATGTATACTGACATCTTCATACATACACAATTTATTCATGATGACTAGGACAAGCAAAAGGAGAAATGCATTTAAAGAACATTAGGCTTTTTAAAGCAAAAAGACAGTGTTAAGAAGTCTGAAAAGTGATAATAAAAAATGTATGGCAAAGAGGAACATGATGCAGAGATTAAATCAAAAGACCTAACAGATGATGAGCTTACTTACATGGCAGTGATAATTTCATAGTTTTGATTATTTTTTAACATAAACCCTAAAATAATTATCTTCAACTTATTTTAGTAAATAGTCATGATGATGAGATTAAGTGAAATGGTAAGCCAGCTTTTGGCTGCTGGTTTTGTTACTATTTTCAAGTTAAATATCAGGGAAAAAAATCATCTGGGGAAAAAACCTACTGCTAATGGAAAACCACTGAAGACAGTTCAATAGCCACAATGTGCAAAATAGCACAATTACATTTACCTGTCAACAATCCCCCCTCCATACACACCTATGGATCCAAGTTTTATACATTTGCTCTCCAAGTTATGTCCCAACTAACTGGAGGATCTCATTTTTCACCTAATCCACCCATCTCCTTACATTCTATTCAACCTCTATTTGTGAAATCTCTATTTCAGTGATCTCCAGGCATACTCTATCTTATGTCATTCACTCACTTAACACACATTATAGTGTCTATAGCAAAGAATTTGGTTTAGTAATCTCTCTTAGTCTCAGGTTCCCCATTGGTAAAACAGTAATAATAATAGTACCTATCTCATACTGAGGTTGTGATGATTAATGTGATAATCCAAAAAAAGTATTGAGAATAATGTATTCTAGTAAGTATTCAATTAATATCAGTTATTACAATAATCATCATGATCATCATTATGCACTAGATTTAGTTTACTGGGGGTATGGAACCCTGGGATGGAGAGGAGGTGGTAAGAACTGTAGGAATGAGTTGTGAACCAAGACAGGGCTGAGGTTAAGGCTCTCAGTTGTTAGTCCTTAATCTACAGGGAATGGGTTTTGAAACATAGCACCAGCTTTTAGTTCAAAACACTTCAGACAGTGAAGAGAACCAGAGGAAAGTGGATCACTCCCATGATCCCATCTTTATATATTGATATTGTTTAGACAACAGCTAGAATGACTGGATTTAGATATGGGGAAACTAGGCTTGGTCTCCTCTCATAGCTACACAGCAAGCTAGGGGTCATTCTACCTCTCACATCTCAGTTGCCCACATATCTCTAAGTGACATGGAGAAGCTAGACAGAAAAGACTAATGGAGTTTTTCCTAATGAGGAATACACCATGAGTTGGTGATCATGATGTAAAATTACAGTCATATTGGCTGGGATTTTTTTTTTTACTATCAACCAAAAGGATTTAATCAACATTTATAAAATACTCTACCCAACAACAGCAGACTTAACATTCCTTTCAAGTGTTTCTGGAACAAATGTCAAGATAGACCATATCCTTGTTATAAAACAAAGCTCAATAAATTTCAAAGAATTGAAATCATATAGTGTTTTTTTTTTACCATAACAAAATCAAACTAGAAATCAATAACAGCAAAATGTTCTCCAAACATTTGTAAACTAAACAACACACTTCCTCATAATCTATGGGCCAGATAAGTCTGAAGGGAAATTTAAAAATATATTGAACTGAATCAAAATGAAAATATAGCATATAAAATTTTATGACACAGCTAAAGCAGGGCTATAAGGGAAATTTATAGCATAGGTTAAACTTAAGTGCATTTATTATAAATGATGAAAAGTCTCAAATCAATAATCTAAGACAATAAATGTAATTTACCCTTATATCTCTTTACTGTCTCCTTTTTATAATTGTCTTAAATGTTTCCTCTAAATACATTTAGAATCACATCAGATAATGTAATTTTTCAGCCATCTAACGTAATTTAGAAAACTCGAGGGCCAGGCGTGGTGGCTCATGCCTGTAATCCCAGCACTTTGGGAGGCTGAGGCGGGAGGATCACGATGTTAGGAGTTCAAGACCAGCCTGGCCAACATGGTGAAACCCTCTCTCTACTAAAAATACAAAAATTAGTCGGACATGGTGGCAGGTGTCTGTAATCCCAGCTAGTCAGGAGGCTGAGGCAGCAGAATTGCTTGAACTCAGGAGGTGGAGGTTGCAGTGAGCCAAGATCATGCCATTGCACTCCAGCTGGGTGAGAAGAGCAAGACTCCATCTCAAAAAAAAAAAAAAAAAAAGAAAAGAAAACTCAAGAGAAGGAAGCCTGTTGTATTTAGGCATATTTTTGAGTAAAGCATTTTTTCTTTTTTTTCTTATTTTAATATTATTATACTTTAAGTTTTAGGGTTCATGTGCACAATGTGCAGGTCTGTTACATATGTATACATGTGCCATGTTGGTGTGCTGCACCCATTAACTCGTCATTTAGCATTAGGTATATCTCCTATCCCTCCCCCCTCCCCCCACCCCACAACAGTCCCCAGAGTGTGATATTCCCCTTCCTGTGTCCATGTGTTCTCATTGTTCAATTCCCACCTATGAGTGAGAACATGTGGTGTTTGGTTTTTGTCCTTGTGATAGTTCGCTGAGAATGATGGTTTCCAGTTTCATCCATGTCCCTACAAAGGACATGAACTCTTCATTTTTTATGGCTGCATAGTATTCCATGGTGTATATGTGCCACATTTTCTTAATCCAGTCTATCATTGTTGGACATTTGGGTTGGTTCCAAGTCTGCTATTGTGAATAGTGCTGCAATAAACATACGTGTGCATGTGTCTTTATAGCAGCATGATTTATAATCCTTTGGGTATATACCCAGTAATGGGATGGCTGGGTCAAATAGTATTTCTAGTTCTAGATCCCTGAGGAATCGCCACACTGACTTCCACAATGGTTGAACTAGTTTACAGTCCCACCAACAGTGTAAAAGTGTTCCTATTTCTCCACATCCTCTCCAGCACCTGTTGTTTCCTGACTTTTTAATGATGGCCATTCAAACTGGTGTGAGATGGTATCTCATTGTGGTTTTGATTTGCATTTCTCTGATGGCCAGTGATGGTGAGCATTTTTTCATGTGTTTTTTGGCTGCATAAATATCTTCTTTTGAGAAGTGTCTGTTCATATCCTTTGCCCACTTTTTGATGGGGTTGTTTGTTTTTTTCTTGTAAATTTGTTTTGAGTTCATTGTAGATTCTGGATATTAGCCCTTTGTCATATGAGTAGGGTGCGAAAATTTTCTCCCATTTTGTAGGTTGCCTGTTCACTCTGATGGTCGTTTCTTTTGCTGTGCAGAAGCTCTTTAGTTTAATTAGATCCCATTTGTCAATTTTGGCTTTTGTTGCCTTTGTTTTTGGTGTTTTAGACATGAAGTCCTTGCCCATGCCTATGTCCTGAATGGTATTGCCTAGGTTTTCTTCTAGGGTTTTTATGGTTTTAGGTCTAACATGTAAGTCTTTGATCCATCTTGAATTAATTTTTGTATAAAGTGTAAGGAAGGGATCCAGTTTCAGCTTTCTACATATGGCTAGCCAGTTTTCCCAGCACCATTTATTAAATAGGGATTCCTTTCCCCATTGCTTGTTTTTGTCAGGTTTGTCAAAAATCAGATGGTTGTAGATATGCGGCATTATTTCTGAGGGCTCTGTTCTGTTCCATTGATCTATATCTCTGTTTTGGTACCAGTACCATGCTGTTTTGGTTACTGTAGCCTTGTAGTATAGTTTGAAGTCAGGTAGCATGATGCCTCTGGCTTTGTTCTTTTGGCTTAGGATTGACTTGGTGATGCAGGCTCTTTTTTGGTTCCATATGAACTTTAAAGTAGTTTTTTCCAATTCTGTGAAGAAAGTCATTGGTAGCTTGATGGGGATGGCATTGAATCTGTAAATTATCTTGGGCAGTATGGCCATTTTCATAATATTGATTCTTCCTACCCATGAGCATGGAATGTTCTTCCATTTCTTTGCATCCTCTTATTTCATTGAGCAGTGGTTTGTAGTTCTCCTTGAAGAGGTCCTTCATGTCCCTTGTAAGTTGGATTCCTAGGTATTTTATTCTCTTTGAAGCAATTGTGAATGGGAGTTCACTCATGATTTGGCTCTCTGTTTGTCTGTTATTGGTGTATAAGAATGCTTGTGATTTTTGTACATTGATTTTGTATCCTGAGATTTTGCTGAAATTGCTTATCAGCTTAAGGAGATTTTGGGCTGAGACATTGGGGTTTTCTAGATAGACAATCACGACATCTGCAAACAGGGACAATTTGACTTCCTCTTTTCCTAATTGAATACCCTTTATTTCCTTCTCCTGCCTCATTGCCCTGGCCAGAACTTCCAACACTATGTTGAATGGGAGTGGTGAGAGAGGGCATCCCTGTCTTGTGCCAGTTTTCAAAGGGAATGCTTCCAGTTTTTGCCCATTCAACATGATATTTGCTGTGGGCTTGTCATAGATAGCTCTTATGATTTTGAGATACGTCCCACCAATACCTAATTTATTGAGAGTTTTTAGCATGAAGTGTTGTTGAATTTTGTCAAAGGCCTTTTCTGCATCTATTGAGATAATCATGTGGTTTTTGTCTTTGGTTCTGTTTATATGCTGGATTACATTTATTGATTTATGTATGTTGAACCAGCCTTGCATCCCAGGGATGAAGCCCATTTGATCATGGTGGATAAGCTTTTTGATGTGCTGCTGGATTCGGTTTGCCAGTATTTTATTGAGGATTTTTGCATCAATGTTCATCAAGGATATTGGTCTAAAATTCTCTTTTTTTGTTGTATCTCTGCCAGGCTTTGGTATCAGGATGATGCTGGCCTCATAAAATGAATTAGGGAGGATTCCCTCTTTTTCTATTGATTGGAATAGTTTCAGAAGGAATGTTACCAGCTCCTCCTTGTACCTCTGGTAGAATTCAGCTGTGAATCCATCTGGTTCTGGACTCTTTTTGGTTGGTAAGCTATTGATTATTGCCACAATTTCAGAGCCTGTTATTGGTCTATTCAGAGATTCAACTTCTTCCTGGTTTAGTCTTGGGAGGGTGTATGTGTCGAGGAATTTATCCATTTCTTCTAGATTTTCTAGTTTATTTGCATAGAGGTGTTGGTAGTATTCTCTGATGGTAGTTTGTATTTCTGTGGGATCAGTGATGATATCCCCTTTATCATTTTTTATTGCGTCTATTTGATTCTTCTCTCTTTTCTTCTTTATTAGTCTTGCTAGCAGTCTATCAATTTTGTTGATCCTTTCAAAAAACCAGCTCCTGGATTCATTAATTTTTTGAAGGGTTTTTTGGGTCTCTATTTCCTTCAGTTCTGCTCTGATTTTAGTAATTTCTTGCCTTCTGCTAGCTTTTGAATGTGTTTGCTCTTGCTTTTCTAGTTCTTTTAATTGTGATGTTAGGGTGTCAATTTTGGATCTTTCCTGCTTTCTTTTCTGGGCATTTAGTGCTATAAATTTCCCTCTACATACTGCTTTGAATGTGTCCCAGAGATTCTGGTATGTTGTGTCTTTGTTCTCGTTGGTTTCAAAGAGCATCTTTATTTCTGCCTTCATTTTGTTATGTACCCAGTAGTCATTCAGGAGCAGGTTGTTCAGTTTCCATGTAGTTGAGTGGTTTTGAGTGAGTTTCTTAATCTTGAGTTCTAGTTTGATTGCACTGTGGTCTGTGAGACAGTTTGTTATAATTTCTGTTCTTTTACATTTGCTGAGGAGAGCTTTACTTCCAACTATGTGGTCCGTTTTGGAATAGGTGTTGTGTGGTGCTGAAAAAAAATGTATATTCTATTGATTTGGGGTGGAGAGTTCTGTAGATGTCTATTAGGTCCGCTTGGTGCAGAGCTGAGTTCAATTCCTGGGTATCCTTGTTGACTTTCTGTCTCGTTGATCTGTCTAATGTTGACAGTGGGGTGTTAAAGTCTCCCATTATTATTGTGTGGGAGTCTAAGTCTCTTTGTAGGTCACTCAGGACTTGCTTTATGAATCTGGGTGCTCCTGTATTGGGTGCATATTTATTTATGATAGTTAGCTCTTCTTGTTGAATTGATCCCTTTACCATTATGTAATGGCCTTCTTTGTCTCTTTTGATCTTTGTTGGTTTAAAGTCTGTTTTATCAGAGACTAGGATTGCAACCTCTGCCTTTTTTTGTTTTCCATTTGCTTGGTAGATCTTCCTCCATCCCTTCATTTTGAGCCTATGTGTGTCTCTGCATGTGAGATGGGTTTCCTGAATACAGCACTCTGATGGGTCTTGACTCTTTATCCAATTTGCCAGTCTGTGTCTTTTAATTGGAGGATTTAGCCCATTTACATTTAAAGTTAATATTGTTATGTGTGAATTTGATCCTGTCATTATGTTAGCTGGTTATTTTGCTCATTAGTTGATGCAGTTTCTTCCTAGCCTTGATGGTCTTTACATTTTGGCATGTTTTTGCAGTGGCTGGTACCGGTTTTTCCTTTCCATGTTTAGTGCTTCCTTCAGGAGCTCTTGTAGGGCAGGCCTGGTGGTGACAAAATCTCTCAGCATTTGCTTGTCTGTAAAGTATTTTATTTCTCCTTCACTTATGAAGCTTAGTTCGGCTGGATATGAAATTCTGGGTTGAAAATTCTTTCTTTAAGAATGTTAAATATTGGCCCCCACTCTCTTCTGGCTTGTAGAGTTTCTGTCGAGAGATCCACTGTTAATCTGATGGGCTTCCCTTTGTGGGTAACCCGACCTTTCTTTCTGGCTGCCCTTAACATTTTTTCCTTCATTTCAACTTTGGTGAATCTGACAATTATGTGTCTTGGAGTTGCTCTTCTCGAGGAGTATCTTTGTGACGTTCTCTGTATTTCCTGAATCTGAATGTTGGCCTGCCTTGCTAGATTGGGGAAGTTCTCCTGGATAATATCCTGCAGAGTGTTTTCCAGCTTGGTTCCATTCTCCCCATCACTTTCAGGTACACCAATCAGATGTAGATTTGGTCTTTTCACATAGTCCCATATTTCTTGGAAGCTTTGTTTGTTTCTTTTTATTCTTTTTTCTCCAAACTTCCCTTCTCACTTCATTTCATTCATTTCATCTTCCAACACTGATACACTTTCTTCCAGTTGATTGCATTGGCTCCTGAGGCTTCTGCATTGTTCACGTAGTTCTCAAGCCTTGGCTTCAGCTCCATCAGCTCCTTTAAGGACTTCTCTGCATTGGTTATTCTAGTTATCCATTTGCCTAATTTTTTTCTCACAGTTTTTAACTTCTTTGCCATTGGTTTGAATTTCCTCCTGTAGCTTGGAGTAGTTTGATTGGCTGGAGCCTTCTTCTCTCAACTTGTCAAAGTCATTCTCCATCCAGCTTTGTTCCGTTGCTGGTAAGGAGCTGCGTTCCTTTGGTGGAGGAGAGGCGCTCTGCTTTTTAGAGTTTCCAGTTTTTCTGCTCTGTTTTTTCCCCATCTTTGTGGTTTTATCTACTTTTGGTCTTTGATGATGGTGACATACAGAAGGGTTTTTGGTGTGTACTTCCTGTTTGTTAGTTTTCCTTCTAACAGACAGGACCCTCAGCTGCAAGTCTGTTGGAGTTTGCTAGAGGTCCACTCCAGATGCTGTTTGCCTGGGTATCAGCAGTGGTGGCTGCAGAACAGTGGTGGCTGTACAACAGCAGATCTTGGTGAACCGCAAATGCTGCTGCCTGATCGTTCCTCTGGAAGTTTTGTCTCAGAGGAGTACCTGGCCATGTGAGGTGTCAGTCTGCCCCTACTGGGGGGTGCCTCCCAGTTAGGCTGCTCGGCGGTCAGGGACCCACTTGAGGAGGCAGTCTGCCCGTTCTCAGATCTCCAGCTGCATGCTGGGAGAACCACTACTCTCTTCAAAGCTGTCAGACAGGGACATTTAAGTCTGCAGAGGTTACTGCTGTCTTTTTGTTTGTTTTTTCCCTTCCCCTAGAGGTGGAGCCTACAGAGGCAGGCAGGTCTCCTTGAGCTGTGGTGGGCTCCACCCAGTTTGAGCTTCCAGGCTGCTTTGTTTACCTAATCAAGCCTGGGTAATGGCAGGTGCCCTTCCCCCAGTCTCGCTGCCGCCTTGCAGTTTGATCTCAGACTGCTGTGCTAGGAATCAGCGAGACTCCGTGGCCGTAGGACCCTCTGAGCCAGGTGCAGGATATAATCTCCTGGTGTCCCGTTTTTTAAGCCCGTTGGAAAACCGCAGTATTAGGGTGGGGGTGACCCAATTTTCCAGGTATCGTCTGTCACCCCTTTCTTTGACTAGGAAAGGGAACTCCCTGACCCCTTGCGCTTCCCAAGTGAGGCAATGCCTCGCCCTGCTTCAGCTCGTGCATGGTGCGCTGCACCCACTGTCCTGCACCCACTGTCTGGCACTCCCTAGTGAGATGAACCCGGTGCCTCAGATGGAAATGCAGAAATCACCCATCTTCTGCGTCGCTCACGCTGGGAGCTGTAGACCGGAGCTGTTCCTATTCAGCCATCTTGGCTCCTGAGTAAAGTCGGGAATGTATTTTAAACATACTCACTACTTCATTTCTGCCTCTTACCCATCTCCTTAGGATAAGTAGTGGCTAAACACTTAAATCAGTATAGCTTAAACAACTGAACTTTATGATAATTCTTGACTGACAGAAAGGCATGTCACTTTTCAATCACAAACATTCATAGCATCCTTCATTTGAATTCTTTTGCTAAGTGACCAAAGAGAAATTTCTGTCTGCTGGAATGATGCAGGAATTGAATCTCACAGTTTGAGGGTGGGTATGCAGACAGTCAGGAGCAGGTGCAGGGTTTGTGGATCTTTCAGCTTATACAACTAGGGGAAGGTCTTTAGGAAAAACACAAATTTACAAACACAAATATAAGGGCAAAAAAGATATGACAGCACATTACAAATTTTAAAAAGTTAAAAATATCCCAAAGATAAAATCCAGGAAAATAATATAGTGTTTTGATTAACTGCCTAACAAACCTATATCTTTCTTCAACATGTTTGGGTTGCATAATCTTTAATTATCTCTTCAAATGACAATGATGATATAACATCCATTTCTGAACATCCAGTTCAGAATCTATAGCCTTAGGAAACTATGTGATTTTTGCACAAGTCTCAACCTTTTTATGTCTGCACATTTTCAGCCTACATGAAAACCAGCCATAATCTGGTGGGCACCAATTATGTGCAGCTTTGGGGTACCTCCAGGTGGCATTAGTGTCCTAGGAGATGAAGCATGGATGGTGACTGATGGTGTGAAGGAGCAGAACTGCTGTAGGCCCTAGTTGTGTAGCCATAGTTGTGCCACAGCTCATCTCTCAAACCACCATCTATGGCTTTGGTCAAGCTACTCCAGGTGTGGCTGCTGCCAGCTAGCCACATCTGTCTACTTTCGTGGAGCACCACCTGTGGCTTTTTTACAGTG
Organism: Homo sapiens; assembly: GCF_000001405.40. Classification (NCBI taxonomy): domain Eukaryota; kingdom Metazoa; phylum Chordata; class Mammalia; order Primates; family Hominidae; genus Homo; species Homo sapiens. The sequence continues at coordinate 99,976,647 of NC_000006.12, forward strand.
CTCCCCAGCTACCTCATGTTTGCCAATGCACCCACCTGGACCTCTAGGCATCTTCAAAACCCTGTCTCCTACTTCAGTTCACCTTCTGACACCTGCTTTTGCACCATCCCCATCCAGCCCTGCATAGGGACTGCCTAAGCCTTGCTAAGGTAAGGCCTGCTGACTAGGAACCAGGGCCTACTGCTCAAATTCCAGTTTTGCCTTTAAGAAATTGACATCCTTTTTTGACATTCTTGCCTCACACGCTTGCTGGCCCCTTGCCACAGATATTTTTGTCAGCAACTCATACATTCCATAGCATCAAAAGCAACCTTAGGCGAACGGAGGCCAGAATGCCAATATTTACCTGACCTGCTGATTTTCTTTTGACTTCATTTTTATAACAAAGTTATATTTTAGTGATTTTGGTTTGGTATAAGTAAATACTTAGCTTTTGATAAGCACCTGGGGTCTGAGATACAGTCTGACATGTTATCCTACTCATTCATGAATCACTCTCAAAATGTGTGCATAAAAGTTAATTTTCTTCTGTTCAAGCAATATCTAACATTTTAATTAGCATGTTCAAAATCTCCTTTGATCTTGAACTGTATTAGCTGGAAGCGAATGTTCTTTGAGGATTTGAAAAGAAGTTAGGGAGCTCAGACTCAAGTTCTATGCCTTCTAAGACCTATTAGATTCTTAGGAAACCTCCAGTTCATCATTTCACTAGAGAAGTTTTCACACATAGTTGGAGGGAAATTTTGAAGAAAATTTACTCTGCTTAGGAAGAACAGAAGAAAATGTACCCTGCTCCTGAGACTGTTCACAGGAGTTTTGATACCATACGGAGTAGGGCTGCATCATTACTTTCATGGGCTCTAGACACTTTTGTCTTTGTGAGCCCATTCCTCTGCAAAGAAAAAAAAGTCATATTTACCATTGCATTGGTATAAAGGCAAATGTACTTCAGGTTGGGGTACATTTATTTTTTTTCCCTTCTGAATTTAAAAGAAATGTAAACATTTCCACTGGCCCCTAGAGGTCCTGTGGGTCCTGGGCATAATGGCTACTATGCCTAGTGGATAAGTCGGTTCCACTTATTCTTATCCTTTAAAAAAAAGGTAGCAAAGTTTTAAATTAAAAACTTGAAATGTCATGCTATTTCCTCAGCTTCAGAATCAAGAAGACTCATCTACTTAAAAACAAGGCTACTGCTAGCTAATTCAACCATAATAAAGTTTGCTAGATGATAAGTATAATTTATGATGTTAATATTCAATCTTGGACCATATCACTGCTTTTCTGGAAACTAGTACAAACAATGTAAATACTCTGAATATGAGGTAAACTCAAAAATTATACCCACGAAGTGAGCAGGCACAGGGAAGAAACACTTTAAGAATCAATATAAACAGGGATCCCAACATGATGTGGCAAAGGTATAGAGGAATGCAAAGGAAGGAAGTGCAGCCGATGGGCCTCTCTGGCAGGGCCACAATCAGAGACAAGGTAGGTTTCCACTTGATTAGCAGCATTTCAGCGGCTCCAGGGAGATGCCCCACCTCTTACTTACCTGACATTTAATTTAACTGAGAATGTAGACTTTCATCTCTATAGTACAAATGGTGCTTATAATGTGAAAACCCTTAAGATGAAGTATTGTATTCAATGCATGACACAGAATTAAGGACTGCCATCTGACTCTTCTCTGAAAGCAGGTTGTGTTAAGAGGACATTTCCTACACTTGCCCATCTTACAGAGTCTGGAAGAGGCTATGGGAGGTCAAGACAGTTTTTTTTTTTTTTTTTTTTGAGACGGAGTCTTGCTCTGTCAGGCTAGAGTGCAGTGGTGCAATCTCGGCTCACTGCCAGCTCCACCTCCCGGGTTCAAGTGATTCTCCTGCCTCAGCCTCCTGAGTAGCTGGGACTACAGGTGCCCACCACCACGCCCAGCTAATTTTTTGTATTTTTAGTAGAGATGGGGTTTCACCGTGTTAGCCAGGATGATCTCGATCTCGTGACCTCGTGATCTGCCCACCTCGGCCTCCCAAAGTGCTGGGATGACAGGCGTGAGCCACCATGCCTGGCCCAAGACAGTTCTTTAGAAGAAAAGCTCATCCATTGGCCCTCCCTGAAAGAGGATAGCATGTTGGGGGTGGCTAAAAAAGGCTAGGACACCAAAAAAATGTACCCTGCTTCACAGTTTGTGCTGCAGTCAGTGTGAGATGGTTAGTGGGCTTTTAATTAGATGGTCCTGTTCTGACGTTGGTTGGAGTACAGGCAGGGAAAGAACTGGGGAAAGGAAAAGGTGCCATGGCCAGTACTAGGCAAAGGGAATAAGCAGGTCTTCTGGTATGGCTGTGCAGGTTGCGTACTGCTCAAAGGCGCCACATCCAAGTGGTAGGAGGTGGGGCGGAGGGAGGTGGGTTGGATGGGGAATATCATTTACTTCATAGACATAATAGGTTGGTGTATTTATTAAAACAATTTTTCAGTTGATAGTGGTAGAGCGTCTTGTTTTAATAAAATCAGCACATTATGCCCATTTTCTGACATATGGAAGTCCAGTGACTTGGGAACACAGAGGGTCTCTAATTGGCAGAAAGGTCCATAGAGGCAGCACTGTACACGCAAGGAAAGAATCTGTCCCAGCCTGAAAGAATCCCTGCACTTTGCTCACTGAGGGCAGGAGTCATGTTTTATTCATCTTTTTTATTTATTCCTATCACCTAAGACAGCAGCACAGTATGCATGTTCCACTGAACTTCCCTACAACCCCAGTAGCCACTAGCCACATGTGGCTACTGAGCACTTGCAATGTGGCTTGTCTGAATTGAGATGTGCAGTAAGTGTAAAATATGCACCTGATTTTGAAGACTAAGTATAAAAAATGTAAAATAAATCCTTAATAATTACTTTATATTGATTGCACATGGAAATAAAATTTTTAATAGACTAGGTTAAATTAAATGTATTATTAAAATTAATTTCACCTGTTTCTTTTTACTTTTTAATGTGGCTACTAAAAAATTTAAGATTACATATGTGATTTGTATTTGTTCCTCCTATTTGTCTTGGGCAAAGCTGCCTGGGAAAGCTGACTATAGACAATATCCTTGACAGCAATTCATACAGTGATTATTTACATTGTTGCTATTTTAATATCCTTTAATTAAAATAATTCTGATTTACCTTATATCCCTTTTAAGAATTCCACGAGGAGGGATCTTTAATAGGGTTAAAGAAGAAAATTTCTGAAAAATGTATGCTCCTTTGCAGAGACAGTTAAATTCAGAAGAAAAAAATTTGTAAATGGCTTGGCACTTTGCTCAACTGATCTACAAGATTTTGTTTGGTGAAGAGAGTTGTTTGTTGTTGAAATTTGCTAGCATTAAAGTACTGTCATATGAACTTGGTGACACATGCTTGTTAAAGATCTTTGTTTAATTTGATCATTTCAAGTTACATGATGATTGTTCTGTTTTATAGTTTATAAAGTAATGAGAAAGTAAACATTCTAAAAAGCACAGTAGCACACTTGACTCCACCTGCTATGGGCCCTTGTTAAACACTAGTTCTCAGGTACACATATAAATTTTCCCAGCACCACAGTCTCACCTATGGGGATGAGTGAGATGTTTTAAAAGAAGGCAACGTGCTCCACTGAATCTGGACTAAGCTCACTTTAAGGAAAAATATCTTACTTGGGACCATCTGGTTGCCAGGTCAGGGCAGGCTGAGATGGAAGTTGTTTGTGCTAATGGCCTGGTCAGATCCAGTTCTGAGAGCCTGGGGGAAGCTATCGGAGGTCAAGATAATTCTATAGAACTATGGTTCATCCATTGGCCTTCTGAGAGGCAGGGAAGAGCTGTCCAAATAGTCAATGGGATGGACTTGAGAAACTTCATGTGAAAGCATATGTGTGTGTGTGTGTGTGCGCTCACGCACATGAGTGCAAGTGCGTGAGAGTGAAAGAGAGGAGAGTGACAGAGAGAGACAGAGAAAAAAAATTTTCGAGATATAACCTTTCCAACGACTAGATACTACCATTGGCAAAAAAAATACCCTCTATATTGGGATTTTCACTTCTGAATCAAATCATGGATGACCTAAAACTGTGAGTGAGGTATTTAATAGCAATGAGAATGTGGAATAATTTTTTATTCTGCCAATATTCAGTGCTCCACTGACAGGTACTGATTACATGAAACTAGCTCCAAAAACATCAAAGAAAAGATATATCCATTCAGACACCACAATCCCAGAAGGATTGCATGAAAATATTAGCATTCATTTCTGCTGCAGGTTTTATGATAAAAAGTTATTACATATTTGAGTGGATGTCAAAGCAGGGTTGCAAATTTAACAAAGGAAAAATCCTTAGATAATCTTCATGTCTTTCAAATAGGTCAAATGCTTATAAAATAGGAGACATTTTACTTTGACAATCAGAAATCTACCACAGTAAAAATAAGCATCTAGAGGTTTTTCTAGCTGTCAATCCTTTTGCTTATTTATTATTATTATTGTTGTTACTATTTTCACTTTAAAAGTACAGATTGTCCTATGCTGTGGTCCAAACATTAACATAGCAATCCTATGTCTATCATGTAACATTCTAGATTGAAGGCAAAAAACAAAGATGTCTTATTAGAATTGAGATAAAATTGACTGGTACTTTTCTGCTAAACACTTCCCTGTGGGGTAAGCGTTTCAAGCACAAAGAAGAGGGTGGCCATAAGAAAAAACATGTTTCACTACTGGACAGTGGCTTGTGACTGGAGCTGTTTTCCAGTCACTGGAGTCTGGCCGCTGGGAAAATCCTTTCTCTGTGGGAATCTGGCCAATGGTATGTGTGGTTAAACATGGAGATGTTGGGACTGAATCCAGGTTCTACCCTACAGGGATTGAGAATGGGGTCAAATTCATTAACCTCTTTTGTAACCTCAGTTTCCTATTTGTTTAATGGGAATAATATAACCCATTGCATAAGGCTGTTGTGAGGAAATGAGATGTAAGGCACCTGGCACACGGCAACTAGGAAATGAGTGTTGGTTACCATTGCTGTTACTATTAATTTCATATCTGTGCTTTCTCTCATGTTCTCTCTGCATGAAAGTCTCTTTCCCTCCTTGTTGATGTGGAAAGCTCTTCTTTTCAGAAATGGCTCACCTCTAAGAAACAGTCGGTGATTAATTCCAGCTCTGTGAGTCTCCCCTTTCTGTATACTGTCAGGCTTTATACACACTTCATAATTATTAGTTGTGTGTTTACATGCACTTCCCCAAAACTGCTAGCGACTGTAAACATATGGTGTAAGCTCAACACAATGCTTGTTGACTGAGGTGATGGTTTTTCTCTCCAACCCTTTATCCCTCCCGACAACTTCCCACATATCTTGCATCTAATTCCGTACTCTAGATACTGATTTCACATCTCCCTAAACCCCCCGCTCCCTACCTGTCTCTGTTCTATTCAGATGGAACATCGGGTTTTCCTCCTCACAGCTTCATTGCTTCCTTCATTACTTCTCACTGCAGTTATGGCGGCCTTGTCTCCCACTTCGACAAAATTCCTTCTCAGTCTTTTGTGGTCCATTTCAAATCTGCCTCCTAAATTAAGCCTCAGTTAACGACTCACATCAACCCACCTTCCCCAACCCTACTCAGGATGGCTGTTCGGAAATCTAATATTGATATATAAAACAATCTTAATTGGGGCCAGGCACAGTGGCTCATGCCTGTAATCCCAGCCCTTTGGGAGGCTGAGGTGGGCAGATCACTTGAGGTCAGGAGTTCAAGACCAGCCTGGGCAATATGGAGAAACCTTGTCTGTACAGAAAAAAAAAAAAAAAAAAAAAAAAAGCCAGGTGTGGTGGCGCACATCTGTAGTCTCAGCTACTCAGGAGGCTGAGACAGGAAGATCGCTTGAGCCTGGGAGGTGGAGGTTGCAGTGAGCTGAGATTGCACCACTGTACCCTAGCTTGGGCAACAGAGTGAGACCTACTCTCCAGAAAAAAACCACACCCAATTTTAATTGGGGTGCTATTATGGGTGCCATATGAGTTGGGTGGATGAACTCTTGATGGAGAAGTGGATTTTTCCATTTCTCCCTAAACCTCTGATGCAGGCTGATCAAATTGAGCACTCAAACATTAGATGTTAGGAAAAGAAGTTACTATTTAGATGCTGAGACAAATGGAAAGTGACACTAGATGTTCCCTTTCTCCCTTTTGGACTCAAGACAGAGCACTGTCTTGGTAAGTGTGGTCTTTCTTAAGGTATATGTGGCTGGTGCCGGCCATGATGTTTTTGTTTTTTTGTTTTGTTTTGTTTGTCTTATTATTATTAGAGTCAGGGTCTTGCTCTGCTGCTCTGGCTGGAGTGCAGTGGTGCAATCACGGCTCACTGCAGCCTCAACTTCCCAGGCTCAAGTAATCCTCTCACCTCAGATTCCTGAGTAGCTGGGACTTCAGGAGGGCACCACCATGCCCAGCTAATTTTTGGTTTTTTTTGGTATTTTTGTAGAGACAGGGTTTTACCATGTTGTCCAGGTTGGCCTCAAACTCCTGGGCTCAAGTGATCCTCCATCCTTGGCCTCCCAAAGTGCTGGGATTACAGGTGTGAACCACCATGCCCAGCCCCTGCCATGGGGTTAGTAACAACTCATGGAAAAGAATTGTTTTCACTCCTGAGTCCTCATACTTAGATGTTTGTCTATAGAGGATGTCACAAGTAGAATTAGGTCTCAAAAAGCCATCTGAGCTAGCAGAATATGCATGTCACTCATCTTTCCTTTTACTAGGCCCTATACATACTATTTTTTAAATGGACCTGCCCACTACTGTGAACTTTCTGAAGCAAGCCTGATCCCAGTTGTTCCCCAAAAAAGAATTTGAAATCGTCACACTCAAGCTTTTGACTCACCACTCTAAGAAAACCATTGTTTTCAAGGTTATTTAATCTTATTGTTGGCTAAATCCAAGTAATACTTCTTTGTCCTTATTTTAGTTGGTTTCCTGGCAACAACCAACATCATTGCAAATTTCTTCCTCGAAACACTCTCTTCTCTTGACTTCCTTGACATGATGCTCACTTGTTATTAAAAAAGAGTGCCTATGTTTGCATTTACCAGATACACCTTCGCCTATATTTTTATTTTTCAACCTTTCTGAACTGCTTTATTTAAGGGATTTTTTTCTACAGCATAGGGTTGGATATTCCATTATAAGCCAATTTGAAGTTATTTTTCTATATTAGAGATAGAATTTAACTCCTTTACATCTATCATAATGACAGATGTGTTTGTTTTTAGCTCTGGAAGGAAGGATTGGACTCTTTACAAGGGGCTTCTGATTAGGTATTCTTTAGCTGGTAGGTGAATCATTTGGGATGTCTTTGCTAGTTTCAAAAAACTCTATACAAATGGCTTAAACGTAAAGGGTATTCATTATCTTGCATAATAAAGAAGTCCAGAAGTATTTCATATTTTGTCTTCTGTTATACACACATACATGCACATACACATATATACATACATATATATACACTTATACATGAAAGAGAAACATTTATTTCTCTACATTTTTCACTGTATCTTTTTGTTTTTTATTTTTTTATTTTTATTTATTTATTTTTCTTTATTATTATACTTTAAGTTTTAGGGTACATGTGCACAATGTGCAGGTTAGTTACATATGTATACATGTGCCATGCTGGTGTGCTGCACCCATTAACTAGTCATTTAGCATTAGGTATATCTCCTGAAGTTATCCCTCCCCCCCACCCCCGTCTTTTTGTTTTTTAACAATGTTTAGGAAAATGTACATTTTTATTTTATAGGTTACATTTGTTTAATTTTACACACTACTTTTAGACTTTATTTCTTTAGATAACATCTTTTAGTTCTTTCATATGTGACTCACCACATACACAGAATTTTAAAAAACCCTATGGTCACATCAATAGATGCAGAAAAAGCATTCCGTAAAATCTAGCATCCCTTCATGATAAAAAACCTCAAAAAACTAGGCCTAGAAGGAACTTATCTCAAAATAATGAAGGTTACATATGTCAAACCCATAGCCAACATCATAGTGAATGTGGAAAAGTTAAAAGCATTACCCCTTAGAATGGGACAATACAAGGATGCCCACTTTCACCACTACTATTCAAACATAGAACTGAAAGTCCTAGCTGGGGCAAGCAGGCAAGAGAAAGAAATACAAGTCATTCAATCAGAAAAAAGTAAGTCGAATTATTTCTGTTTGTTGATGATATGATCGTATGCCTAGAGAACCCTAAGGACTCCTTGAAGAGACTCCTAGAGTTGATAAATGACTTCAGTAAAGTTTCAGAATACATAATCAATGTACAAAAATTAGTAGCATTTTTATACAAATAATGATCAAGCTGGGAACCAAATCAAGAACTCAATCCCATTTACAATAGCTACCAAAATAAAATAAAATACCTAGGAATAGATTTCACCAAGGAGTTAAAAGATCTCTACAAAAAGAACTGCAAAACACTGATGAAAGAAATTAGAGATGACACAAACAAATGGAAAAGCATCCTATGCTCATGAATTGGAAGAACCAGTATCATCAAAATGACCATACTGCCCAAAACAATCTACAGATTCAATGAAATTCCTATCAAATTACCAGTATAATTCTTCACAGAATTAGAAAAGGCAATGCTAACATTCATATGAAACCAAAAAAGAGTCTGAATAGCCAAAGCAGTCCTAAACAAAAGAGAATAAATCTAGATGTATCACATTACCTGACTTCAAATTATACTATGGCTATACTAACCAAAACAGCATGATGCTGGCGTAAAAACAGACACACAGATCAATGGAACAGTACAGATAACCCAGAAATAAAACCACATACCTCTACAACCAATAATCTTTGACAAAGTTGACAAAAACATACACTGGGGAAGTACACCCTATTAAATAAATGGTACTGGGAAAATTGAATAGTCATATGCAGAAGAATGGAATTGGACATGCATCTCTCAGCATATACAAAAGTTAATGCAAAATTGATTAGACTTAAGTGTAAGACCTGAAACTACAAAAATCCTAGAAGAAAACCTAGGCAAAACTATTCTGGACATTGGCCTAGGCAAAGAATTTATGACTAAGTCCTCAAAAAGAAATACAACAAAAACAATAGGCAAATGGGATTTAATCGAACTAAAAATCTTTTGTACATCAAAAGAAATAATCAACAGAGTAAACAGACAACCTACAGAATAGGCGAAGATATTTGCAAACATTGCATCTGACAAAGGGCTAATATTCAGAATCTACAAGGAACTGAAACAAATCAAGAGGAAAAAAACTCAAATAACCCTATTAAAAAGCAAGCAATGGACATGAACAGACATTTTTCAAAAGAAGACATACAAATGGCCAAAAAACATATGAAAAATGCTCAATATCACTAATCATCAGAGAAATGCAAATTAAAACCATAATGAGATACCACTTATACCAGCCAGAATGAATATTATTAAAAAGTCAAAAATCAACAGATATTGGGAAGGATGCAGAGAAAAGGAATACTTTTACATTGTTAGTGGAAATGTAAATTAGTACAACTTTACAGAAAACAGTACGAAGATTTCTCAAGGAAGTAAAAAAAGAACTACGCTTTGATATAGTCATCTCATCACTGGGTATCTACCCCTAAAAAAGAAATCATGTATCAAAAAGACTCCTACACTTGTATGTTTATCTAATGCTGTTTACATTAGCAAAGTCATGCAGTCAACCTAAGTGTCCATCAACTGATGAGCAGATAAAGAAAATGTGGTATATATGTATACTATGGAATCCTACTCAGTCATAAAAAATAATGAAATAATGTCTTTTATGGCAACATAGATGGAACTGGAGGCCATTATTCTAATTGAAATGACTTGAAACAGAAAGTCAAAAACCACATATTCTCACTTATAAGTGGGAGCTAAACAATGGGTACATGTGGACATACAGAGAGGAATAATAGACACGGAGATTCCAAAAGGTGGGAAGGTGGGAGGCGGGTGAGGGATGGAATAATTCCTATAGGGTACAATATATCCTATTTGGGTGATAGGTACACTAATAGCCCCAGACTTCACCACTATGAAATATATCCATGTAACACATGGATATATTATATACATGGACCCTTAAGTATATACATGGACCCCTAAGTATATAATATATATACATGTATAATATACATGTATATATATCCATAAGTATAATATATATACATGGACCCTTAAGTATATAAAAATATAAAAAAGGAAATGATAACATTGGCATATTTCCCCTTCCTTGCTTTTTTCTTCTGGCCCTCCACTGCTCAATTTTGGTCAACAAATTATATTTTTAGTTTTAGCTTTGTACATTTTAATGTTCTTATACTCTATTGTATTGTGTTTGTTGTGTTGTGTTGTATTTATTTATTTATTTATTTATTTTTTGAGACAGAGTCTTGCTCTGCTGCCCAGGGTGGAGTGCAGCGGTGTGATCTCGGCTCACTGCAACCTCTGCCTCCTGGGTTCAAGCGATTCTCCTGCCTCAACCTCCCAAGTAGCTGGGATTACAGGCACATGCCACTGCACCCGGCTAATCCTTATACTTTAAATACTTGTTTTGTCAGGTTGAATAATATATCCTTTGACTCAGATATATTACACGAGGCCATAAGTGAATTTACTCTACCTTCCACCTTCTTTCCCTCTTCCTCTTCCAGTTTTGGATAGGTATGTAATTAAATTTTTTCACAGCATATAGTATGCCATCCAAATCCCCACCCTTGCTTTAGGATTAGTTCTACAATTAAATACATTCCATGCTCGCTGCCATTCTTTTTGCTTTGGGTTAAGGAATTTGTCAAAAACTATACAAAAATTAGATAACAGAGTCAGGATTTAAACCAAAGTTTGACACAACATTCCATGCTTTTTCCACTACATTATGCTTCTTCTGAAAGTCTGCATACACACACATACAGACATATGCTTTAACTACACTGAAAGCAAAAGAGATCAAAACAGCACACAGAAAAAGTAAGCAAAATATAAGAAATTAAGAGTTAAAAAACAATAAAAATTGAAATAAATGGATAAACATATAAAAGTGACTGAAGTCACTTCATTAGCACCCCAAAATAAACACTGTTTTAAAATTTTTCATGGGGGCACAAAAGGTTATTTTTTATTGATAAGATTGGCAGGCCAATATTGAAAGAAAAGAAAAGGAAACAAGAGACTAACAAGTCTATAGAGGGTTAATCATTTTTTCAAAAAGGCTTTAAAACAGGAGGCTAAGTTAAAAATCATTAGGGATTATTTGCATCTCTGGAACTAAGGCAGCCATAGACTTCAGCAGAATATTTAACTCATTTGATGTCCCAAGGGATGGATTCATTGCAAGAGTTTTCTGATTTGGTTCTCTATGGCTGGTGTGTAAATCATTTGGGCTGTCTCCTACTGTCAGTTTCAGAAGACCCAGCCCTAAATAGCTTAAACATAACAGTGAAGTCCATAGGGTAGACTTTCACAGGGGAAGACAGGGTGGTACTTTCAAGATTGCTTATTTCAGTGGCCTAATGGTGACATCAGAGTCCAGGTCTTTTCCTTCTTTTCCACTGCAGCTATCCTCAGTATACAAATCTTTTCCAAGGATGGTCCCCACAGGGATACCAGATGATTACAGCAGCTAGTCCTCATCCTCATGTAAGCACAATAAAAGCCAGAAAGGACCATCCCTTCTTTGTGGACATTTTAAAGAAAGTGCAGTCCTTTCCCAGCAGCCTCTTTTGCACACTGGCCCACAAGTATCAATGGCTGGAATTGTGTCACATGCTCTTTGCCAAACCAATCATTGCATTGGTAGGAGGAGTGAAATTACAGTAATTGGTCTAAAATAATCTCAATTCATCCCCCCACCCACAGGGCTAGAAATGGACACACACTTGCCTGAAACTCAGAGCCACCCAAACTCAAGGCAAGGAAAAACGAGATAATCAATCAACAACATTTCTCATAGGTAGAAATAGAACAGAAAGACCTTCCTTTTACCCTCTGCCTCTCACTTTTGAACATTCTTAAATACTATAGAGGATTAGAAGACACATCACTCCATCTTTTTTACGTGCATCTTCTAATAGTTGATTGTTATTGGGCACAAGTTGCTACCAGCAGGCATATAACTTTTTCCATATAATGAATGGCATACTGGGTTTCTCTTCCAGAATGGCCATCAGGTAGTATTTATTTATGACTAATGTTAGCTTCTCAAGGCCGTTATGAGTCAATTAAGAGACCAGCCTGAATGTCTCCATGAGCTAAATCGATATTTACCCACATGCATGTACATAGTCATACTTATGAAAACACTTATGACTCCTATGAGAAAAATAAATATTAAACACAGGTTAAGAACAAGCACTTCCAATGGCTGAAAGAGGGTCTAAGATCATATGAAATACACCACAGGTTTAAAATTACTACCTACCAGAAGGATCATTTGAGCCCAGGAGTTTGAGGTTACAATGTGCTAAGACTGTGTAAGTGCACTCTAGCCTGGGCGACAGAGCATGACCCTGTATCAAATTCAAAAAAAATTATTGCCTAGATTTTCATGAAGGAAGACATAAAAAACAAGATAAAGAGGTAAAGTACCAATTTTAAGCAAGATTTATAGAATGTTTGTAATGTGCCAGATACTGTGTTAAGTACCTTATGTACATTACCTCATTTAAAGTTCACAGTCAGATCAAAGGTAAAATTACTATTATCTTCATTTTGCCAAAGAGAATACTGAGGCTAAGAGGGTGAGGATATTGCTCAGGTTCCTCTGTAAGTGAGTGGTAGGGCCAAAAATTGAACCCAGTTTTGTCAGGCTCTAAAACTATGTGCTGACCTTTGACCTCTACCCTGAGAAGACGATGGGAACAATGGTCCCCCTGAAATGTTTCCTCTCTCTTTAGGGTCCAAAACTGCTCCTGAAGAGCTACATAGACTTTGCTTAATAAGCCATCACTGCTGCTTGAAAGAATCAAGACATATTTCAAGAACATTACATAAGTCTCTGATACAGAGGCTCTCTGTAAACAACAAACTGTACTCACCTTCCACTTTTTGAAAATATAAAATATTTTAGGCAGAATTTATGCAATGAAATGCCTTAATAGTACACAATTTTATAACATTTTTATTTGAAAAAATGTTTTTATATGTGCTCCGTGAAATAATCTCCCTCAAAGAGAGCAGCTTCTTTTAAATTTCCGAAGAATTTTAGTTGGAGAAAAAATTCACCTAGATTTTTTTAAGTAGCAATATATAATCTTTTTACATTTCTAAGATTAAAAGGCATTTTCAACCAAGTAAACTTGCAAGTTCATTGGCTTTAAAAAACAAAAAAAAAACTAAATTCCATCTTAATGAAAGTGAGCAGAGCATTGTAAATGAATTAGCTCAATTATTTAGAAGGTTTGGGATGTCAGGTATATTTAGAACAAGGTGGGACCCAGGTGATGAGATTTCAGTGTTTTGCAACCTTACATTAAAATTGGAGTAATGAGCTACTAAATGTGTCAGACTTGAGTTCAGCATAGCAAAAGCTTTGCCAATATTTTACATGCTTAATACAAATCCCAAAGATAAAACTTGTTCTCATAAAACAAGTGGTTTCTATCTGTCTCTCTTAATGTTAGAGTCATAGGATAAACACACTATTTACCCTGTATGTGTGTGTGTGTATTCATTTACCCTGTATGTGTGTGTGTGTATTCATTTACTTCAATGATGATCAGATAATCATGCCAGAAGCTAGTATTCAAGAGAAACTTTATTAGTCCTGAGAGTATAGAAAGATTTAAAAATGTATGTTAATTAAGTAAAATGTACGGTAAAGTTATTTGGAACTGTATTTAATGAAATACACAATTGTTACTGAGCTGCATGGCAATTAGCTGTAAGTCATAAGAAATTTACAAAAGACTGTCATTTCATCAGCATTAATTTTACACAATCAATCTAACTTTTAAAAACTTTTCTATAATCATAAACTTTTCCCTGGATAAAAGCCATTTACATAATTCTGTCTCCTCTCTGTCTCTCTCTACATTTTTTTTCTTATCTTCCTGCCCTTCACCAAGACAGAGGAGACCCAATCCTGGACCCTGCCCAAGGCCTCAGTATCCACCTCTCCTCCTTCCCACCCTGATGATCAGGGTATCAGCTGCTTGGAAGCTCCAGGCCCTCGGTTCTTCAGACCTTGGAGCCACATCTAGTATGTCCTTAGATATGCATCTCCTGCTTTATTTGGAGGGGTCTTTATGAGATTCCCAATAATGTTGGGATGGGACAGAAAGAAGAAACCCAAGCATGTGGTGAAAGGGTGGTAACCCCAGGGAGAGAAAGGGCATATGCCAATGGTTCTGAAATTGTAGCATCGAACAGTTTGGGGTCAGAGGAGTGAGAAGGTGCGGGCATGGAGATAAAGAGTGGGGAAAAGAGGGGAGCAGAGCCGCCTATGGGGCCCAGGACCTCCACAGGAGACCCTAGCGGTGAATACATGCTCTCCAGGCACAGCTTCTGGAAGATTTAGCCTCAGTGCATCCTCCTCAGGGAAGCTGGGAGACAGATGGGGCTGGAGGACAGAGCTGCTTGGGCTTTTCCTGACAGCCCTCACCAGCAAAGCATACAGGCCTTCCTAGAAGACTTTGATAAATTTGGACCTAATCTTGGCTCTGTCATTTTTAGCAGTGTGACTTTAGGTAGTCACCAACCTGTCTGAGCCTCAGTTTCCCCATAGGTGAGGTGAGAATAATACTCTCTACATAGTTATCGTGAGGATTTAATGAAATGAAGCATCTGAGGCCGGGGCGCGGTGGCTCACGCCTGTTAATCCCAGCACTTTGGGAGGCCGAGGCAGGTGGATCAGGAGGTCAGGAGATCGAGACCATCCTGAGCAACATGGTGAAACCCAGTCTCTACTAAAAATACAAAAAATTAGCTGGGCATGGTGGTGGGCGCCTGTAGTCCCAGCTACTCTGCAGGCTGAGGCAGGAGAATGGCGAGAACCCGGGAGGCGGAGCTTGCAGTGAGCAGAGACCGCGCGACACTGCACTCCAACCTGGGTGACAGAGTGAGACTCCGTCTCAAAAAAAAAAAAAAAAAAGAAAAGAAAAAAGAAATGAGGCATGCGAACATTGCCTAAAACAGAGCAGGCTCTTGACAAAAGTGTTTTTCTTTTCTTCAGCCCTGAGGCATGAAGAAGGTTCTTCTTCTCATTTCCAGCTTTGCTCTAATTTCCCCACCTGTATATATTTCATTTCATTTCTGAGAATCAGAATGTTAAAAATAAATGCATAAGGGATTGGAGATGAGTAAATTGGAGGCTGAATAAGTGATAGCTTGGGTTTCTTCCAGCTGGGTTGAAGGAAGAGGAGTCATGTTGGGTGAGGGGGTGTCACTGCGGAAGGCAGAGGCATCCCGGCATCTTCAGGGCACAGGGACATTTTCCATCCCTTGTGGAGTGGGAGCTGTGACTGTCCCTTGCAGGGATTTAGGACCTCTGACTAGACAGTGTCCTGAGCCATAGTTCTAATGGGCATCCAAAGGTCCTGTGAAGGGGGAGGCTCCCTCCCGCACACCTGACTCTAGGACTAAAGTGCTAGGCTGGGGAATTTGGGGTCTGGTAGGATAATTGCTGCCTCTTATGCATTTAGCCCACAACTTGGGTTAAATCTACAGGCTTGCCTCTCAAAATAGACACTGGACTTAGCAGTATACACAACAGACCTCCCCTCAAAATCTATTTCTAGTTTTTGAGGAGAGCCAGGCTGACACTAAAAATGAAATTGGTTCTCTCACAGCATCTTGGACCCGTAGGATTGTTCCTGGCTCCTCTTTACAGTGCCTGGTGGCTTTTCCTTCCCTATTCAATCTCCGTTTAACTAACTACATTAATATTTCAGAAACATTCTGTGGCCTGTACATTGGTGGTACTTTATTCCCCAGGCTTGAAAAACTTTTTTCTTGTAATTGGAATGCTTTGTGCAGTCTAATAGTCTGTGTTAGGCTAAGAGTCGAATAACATTGCCCTTGTAATTATCTTGTCATAGCCATAAGACAGTAAGTGAGGGCATGTCTGCTCTGCAAAAGGCCAATTCAATTGTGACATTAAACATATGCCTGATCCAAATGAAACACAAATAATGGGTTACCAACCCAATCCAGTCATTTCCAGCCAGTCAGCATCCCCACCCCCCCATCTCTACCCACTAAGTTATACTAACAAACAGGTTATTATTTAAGTAGAAAAATGCATTATTAAGAAGTCAGAAAACATTCATTGAAAACAGATTGCCTCCCCATTTGCGCTGAGCTAAGTTCTATGAAATTAGAACTGCGCATTCCTCAAATCCAGAAGATTTTGTGTTCATGCCTGATTCTTTAGTGGTAGCTTCAGGGCCATTTTAATAAGAAGATTCCACCTCAAACAAAGATATTAGGCTTTGGGGCAAAGCCTCATTAAAAAATACAAGAAGCACATTTTTAGAAAGAATTTTTCAAAGGCTGTCAGAAGCCCCAGCTGAGTTGCAAAGGGCCTAGGCTACCACCTGCCTACTTTCCCCAGTTCTCTGACAGCCGCTAACTAACTTCCCTAGGGCCACTGAGGAGTTCAGATGACCTGACCGTGCAGGAGTCCTGTGACAGAGGAATAATATTAACTAAGTTAACTAAGTGGGAATGGGGGCTTCACAGAAGGCCGTCCGGAGGCGCGTACAGGGGACACGGGGATCTACCTGGAGGAAGAACTGAATTTGTCTTTTCTAGTTCAAAAAAGCCTTCCCGAACTCTTAGCAAACAAGCCAGTGATCGCCTCCTCGCCTTCGCCACTTCAGTTCAGCCTCTTTAGTCCCCATGGAGAGCCGGGATGAACTAGCCCGGCGCGCTCCAGCGGTCTCGGTCGGGGCCGCTGCTTCCCGGAAAGCCACTCCCTTTTTCTTTTCCCACCTGTGTTTCCATTTTCTTTGCCGAGTGTGAAACCAGCCGGCCACCCACCCGCCCCGCTCCGTCTCGTAGGTGCCTCCACAGAGCCAAACTTTGTACCTTCTGGGGATGGAGGGGGATCCCCCAGCAATCAGACACTACCGGCGAGCCAGCCCCGGGGAGGGGCGACTGGTGGACCAGGCGCCAGACCTTCCCGGGCGCGCAGCCCACGGGCCCTGGGGCGCGCCCACGCCAGAGCCCGGCCCTCGCGCGGCAGCCCGCGGGACGTCACCTGGGTGCTCGCGTCCTCCCCGCGCGGCGGACAGCCCGGGCGCCCTTCCTCTCTGCGGGACTGCAGGTCTATCCGCTAAGCGCGCGTGACCAAAAACGGCTCTCAGCGGGTCCCAGCTGACGGAAGGTGGGGGAGGAGTGCGAGGGTCTCTGAGACAGGTTGGGAGCCAGCCCCACCTCCATTTCCAAAGCGGGGGTCCAGGCACAGGAACAGCCAAACGCCCGAACCAGCGGGGTTACCTTTGCCACTTCATCCAATCCGAGCATCGGGTGCGTCGTGCTCTTTTCTAGGAGCGTGGGGTGCCTTCGCGAATAAAATCTGAAGGCATCTCTGCTCTCGCGGAGCTTGTTCTTTCTTATTTTCAAGTGCTTATCTAGACTGGTAGTCACTAAAGTTCCTGTGAACATTTGTAGGTGTTTTCAGCTAAGCAGTAATAGAAACTCGACCTCCATTTTATATGAACAAGTGTTTATTGATGTACCAAAGGTTTAAAGGAAGGGAAAGGGGAAAGGAGAGAGGAAAGAAGAAACCCATAATACCACCAAGGAACTTGTTTTGTTTTCACGAACTTTTAATCCACCCAGTACAACTGCTTTATAATGATCTTTAGCTTCATGCTTGCACCCTGATCAAATCTGCTGGCCTTAGTAGCTACTTAGCAAATAAGGTGACAAGGACGAAGCTGGAGTTGGATCACTTTCCACCCAAGGGAGCCTCATACGATTTTGGAGACAGGCAGCCCGCCCCGCATTCCACCTCAGCTTTATCATTTACTGTTAGGCATATGACCTCGGGCAGGTTCTTTAATGTTTCTCATCCTCAGTTGCTCATTTGGTACTACCAGAATTGTAAAACTGCCCTCCCAGGGATGCTAAGAGGCTTCACTGGCTTGACATATGCAAAAGCCCTCAAATCAGGCCTGCCATGTAGTTAGTGCTCAATATGTGGTCCCTATGATAATTATAGTCATTAGAGCACCTTTCAGAATCCTTCCTTCATCTATAAGATGAGTAGTCAGAGTGGCATGGCAAAATGTCCTGTATTTCACATTAAGTTAGGAAAATGAGAAAAACTTGAAAGGTTAGTGAAATTGGTTAAAATTTCAAAATTCAACAGATCAGAATTTTTAAAAGCAAGTGTAGAGTCAATGATTATACATTTCAGAACTGGAAGTCGCCTTAGAGTTAGTGTTTGTGCAAAAAGACATCATCTCTAAAATCTCTCAGAAAAATCAAGGAGATATGAGGATGGGAGATTAAATTTAAAGAGAATTTGGATTTCAAAGTGGGAGATTTCAAAGCATCTCTTAGGAAAGAAAAACAAGAAGAAACACTTGACCCATTTATTAGGCTGATTATCTAAACGCCCTCTACAATACCCTTGTGGAAAAGCCTTTTCTAGTTCTCTAATAATATAAAAATTCAGTCCACTATAAGTTTATACACCTTATGTTTTTTTCCAAGTTAAAATTTTGATGTACATTTTCCTGTTCAACTTTCCTATCCCTGACCAAATGTTAAGTCGTTTCAAAGAAAACTCAGAGTGGCTTGTCTTGAATTTCTCATTTGTAGGCAATCCATTTTAAAAAAGACAGGAATATTGGCAATGCCAATTTTTGCTACTTCAATTCTTTGTTCCAGTGATTGATAATGATGAGGATGATGATGTTGACGAATTCTATCTAGTTGTGTACTCTAAATGAAGGATGAATAAATCTCATTTTGTTGTTGTTGCTAAATTGAAAAGTGAAGAATACTTTTTTTTTCTAGCCCAATATATTGTATTGTGTTTTATGGAGCATTGGTGGCTAAAAAGCCTGTGCTAGACGTCACTATTTAGGGAAATATTAGCATATGAGGCTTAATTGCATCCTTGCTTAAGTTTGACAATTTCTATTGGTGTCAATGGAGGATATGTGGCCTTACCTTACATTTTGGTGCCACTTTTTATGCATACTTTAAAAGGTATCATTACATTATTTTTATAATAATTGGAAGGTACACAAGATGGGTGTTATCCCATTTTACTAATAAAGAAACTGAGGTTAAAAGTTAAAGTAAACCATAGACAGTGAAACAGAGGCTGAACCAGAAATAGAATCCCACCTAATTCTCACCCTGGACCTTGAGCTTTCTGATGAGGTAACATTCTTTAGATAGCAGTAGGAGAGCCAGAATGCCCAGTTAAAACCCCACCCCTGTAAAGTCCCTGCCTTTTTTTTCTCAGCTGGAAACTGGGAAGTTTGTCAGACAAAGCTCTTCAGGTTACTGGCAATTTATGTGCTGGGAGGTGGATTTGTGGGCAGAGCTCCGGCTGACCTGGTGTTGTCCTGCTATGGCTACAGACTTCTGACTATGCTTATCAGAAAAACTTTCATTTGGTTCAAGGATTTTTGGTGAGTCTCATTAATTCTGGTTTTATAAAAATAAAAGAGATTGGTGCAATGACTGACCCCTCATGCTGATGAGAATGAGGCTTATTGTGTTCCAAACGTGTATATACCATGGACTGCAGAGTGTCCGCAGCAGGTCCTGATCTCTATTCCTTCTCATTAAGGGATTGTTCAGGAACATCTCTCTGCTGACTTGGCATGGCTTTCTTCTGAGGACCCAGGCTGTTCTTGAGCTCCTCACTGGCCTGGGCTGGGATATTACTTGTCTCTGCAATCATCTGCTACCCAGCTTGGTCTTTGGCTCTGCACTTCCTCGAAGCACAGTCTCTGAGAACTTAGTCTTAATCATCCACTCCTATCAAAGCATCTGATTCCCTCCAAAATCCTTTGCAGAATCCTGACTGAGGCTCTCTAGGAAAATGATCTCTCTCTAAACTGAACCCGCTGTGTCCATATTGACTCTATAAGCTGAATTTTCATTGAGTTTTCACAACAGAAGGGATTTTAAAGACCTATTAACAAGAAGAATTTCTGCTAGGAATCTAGTAGTGGGTTCCATTTAGATTATAATATTTTAAATTGTCTCTCAGGCTGCAGCATCTCAGGAAATTAGCCTGAATTAGGAAATTCTCAGAAAGTTAGTCAGATGTCATTTTGTGCCCACTAACATAAGCATTGCATAAAAAGCAGTGAGATATTGCAGTGTTTCCAAAAGTGTGTTCTGTGGAGCACTAGTTCCATGAGATGATCCATAAACAAAGAGTTTTGTTGTGAGACAATTGTTGGTCCTAGCTCTTTAACCCCTCCTTGGATCCACTCCTTGCAATGGCCTCACCATGGATGGAGCATATTTCATCACTCCCTGACTTTGGGCTTGGCTATGTGACTTGCTTTGTCCAGTTGAATATGGATTACAGACACAGTATGACAATTTTAGGAGTAGGACTTAAGAAACTTAGTGCATTTTCACTGCCTCTTTTGTACCTCTGGCATTGTCCAAGAAGAACATGTCCTGGCTAGCCTGCTAGGCCAAGGAGGATGAGAGAAGCATAGAAAACACAAATTCCCAGGCCTGCTGCTTGAAGCAGAAGTGTTCCAGTCAAACTTCAGCTCTGTGAGAATACATGAAGATTGTTCTGAGACACTGAATTTTGGTGTGGTTTGCCATCTGGAATTATTGTGGCTGTAGATAACTAATATAATAGTCAAAAGAGTTTGGGACACATATAACTCCCTCTTCTCAGAGTCATAACCCACATTAATATATTAAAGGCTCTGAGAAGGACTGCATTATTTCATTACTTCCCAAACTCATTTCATTTTTTACCTTTATATTATAATAATATTATATAAAATATACACTTTAGATTAAAAAAAAAAAAACAAAGAAGAGCAGTTTGCCTAAGTCCTAAACTTGCTATTAAGAAACGTGGATGAACTCTTAGAACAACTGACAATGATTTTCAAGCCTTACCAATCAATCAGATTCATAAAGTTTACTTACTAGTAAATCCCCATTTACCTTCTCATGGCTGCTGAATTTCACATCAGTGACTTGTCTGGTATGGCTCTAAATTTCTAAATGAGTAAGAATTATTTTCCACTTCTGGTGCTAGCCAAATTTCAGAATGATTTTATAATCAGTATAAAGAACATTCATTTTTTAAGTAAATGACCAATGAATTATATTGATCAATTTTAATTAAATTCTTTTTTTCAAATAACATGACTAATATTTGCTATTAAAATTACTTAGCAGCTATGTTGGTGTTAAAAATGAGAATGAATAACCTAAAATACTGGCTGATCTCTTTTTCTCTTAATTTTTGAGAAATGGGGAGCACTTTCAGGAGAATTCTTTTTCAAGCTTAGTCACAATGCCAAGGCTTGGGACTGCTTTCAAGCACAAAAGAAAACACATGGGTTTCAGGAAACATATAGAAAACACCTCCTTTTTCATTTAATTTGGTAACTATGATGCATTGTTGATATCTGTTTATATTCCCTAAGGGGCCTTGGCCTGTGCTTTCATTTCAAACACAGGTGCTCATGTTCAACACCATTGGCAGTGATGTTTGTACAAGAATTTATTTCTTTCCAACTTCTTGAAGAATGGTCATAGCTTATCATATAAGCTGTCTCAGTAAGCATAAAACATTATGACCTGGAATGTCTTAAAACAAAGTGAAAAATCAGTTGACCTTTTATACTTTTCTTCCTTCTTCTAAGTGGACTTCTTTCTTCTCACTATATTTGCCCCTAGCTGGCTGGTCTATGGTAAGGTGCTATCTATTAACTAAAGCGTTAGTAAAATTCTTTCATTTTAAAAATCTTTCATTTTATAAGTGGTACTTTTAAAAGACATTTATTTCCAATAATAAAATGCTTGGAGAATTATTCCAGATACTAGGGGTACAAAGATGAACAAGATATCATCCCTGCCAATGAGGACCTTCAAATCTTGTGGTGAAAATAAACACATGAATAGTTACAGTGCAAATGAAATGAAAGTATGATATGCATTCTTAAGATAGAAGTAAGACATGTTAATTGAGTATTCTTAAAGTAAGTCATTTTTATGAGTTTGCTCATGTTGGCTAGCAGAATTGTGATGTGTTAGTGAGTTGAGGTATACAGCCTAGTTTTTATTCTTTGAAAAAACATGAAGGGTGCTTTACCTTGGGTTCTAAGAGAGACAATCACCACGATTCACTGTGAACTACTGCCTTTAATATTTGGAATGAGAACTACATACTCTACTAAACAGTTTTCCTAAGCCTAGTTATAGATAATAAACTATGTATAATATAAATAGAGAAAGTGGATGTTAATATCCAACTCCATCCTTAGGAATTATGAGAAACTTTGAGGAAACAAATTTAAATGAACTGTCTTTGGCTTAATCCACTCTGTATTTCTCCTGCTGCATCAGGTTCCGTAACCCTCTGCTATGTCTCCAGTGCTTCTTGGGCTAAGGTAGAAATACCAGGGCTGGTTTTCAGTCTCAATTAATTTGCACAAGTTTCGCTTTGGCTTCAGAGTTTATAGGGATAATTACCTCCCCAAATGCTCTGGGAAATGCATGCTCTTATTACAAGGGTTACCATATATCTCAGTTTATCTGGGACAATCCCAATTAATGCCTACTGTTCTGGTGGGACTATTAGTTATATCTTATGCCAGTGTAATGGATTAACGGGGCAGCCACCTATTAGTCCTGCTCACCCTGTGGGAAAGGGATGGGAGTGTTATAGTCTGCTCCCTTTGTCTTTGAGATAACAGCTGAAAACAGAGCAGAAATGTGGGTGCCATGAAATTTCCTGTGTGCACATTAATATCTTTCTTGGGGGGCAGTAGCTCAGAATTCTAAGGTTTTACCATTTCATGTCCCCATCAAATTAGCCTCATATCCTTTACCTCCCATGCATTCATTCTTTGAGAGTGAAATGTTTAAATGCCTGCATTTAATATTTACATTTGTTTTTTGAATTATTTTTGAATTATAATGATTTATAAATAATTTATAAATGACCTTCATTTTACTGGAATAGATATTCAGAGAATGATTTAATTTACTCAGTTTTAGTGTAGCACCACCATAAATCCAAAGGGAAATTGAAGAGAACTCACTGGTTTACTGTTTCTCAATCTTGGTGAATTTCATCTCTTTATTTCAAAGATACATTGTGTCCTTGTGTATTGAGTAAAAATAGCTCCACTATCTAATAACAAAGGCATACTGTATTTGACAAATTCCAGATTATAAAACATGTTTATAGTGGAATTGATAAAATTCATAGTAGCAGTACAGTAGGGAAGACAGATCTATGTAATGGGTCTAGGTATGGATTGGAATCAAGTCTAAAGGCCCCTTGTGTAAGTTGTGTGCTTTGAGGGAAGTCATTTAATGTTTTTGAGCCTCAACTTCATTATGGATAAAATGAGGAAGTAAAACTTGCCCTACCCACCTCATAAGGCAACAAATGTGATTAATGTAAAAATAATTTATCCAATGCAAAGCACTATGTGATCATAAGTGGTAGCAGAGAGCTCTGTCCTTCAGGCTATTTAGAGGTATTATACTCACAGAAGAAAAGATATCCACTTGAAAAGTGAGATTTCGTAGTCTATCTCTCTTTCCATTGGCAGTTCCATTCCCCCTATACAGACTAAAGCTCAAACAAGTTCAAGCCAACAAGAATTTGTCAGGAACTGATCAGGATACAGCAATGGGTTTGAGGTGGGCAGAAACTGCTAGTCAATGGGGCATTTCAAAGATGCTAGTGTTTGCAAATTCTGTACCACTGGTTCCTACTCTTGCCAGTGCCTGAACTTGATTTGGTTATAAAGATAAATAAGACATGGTTCTGCTCTAGGGAGCCCACAATTCAATGAGGGAGACAGACATACACAAGTTAATTTCAATATAATGTAATAAAGAGTATAATTTTTTTTTTCATCTTCAGCTGACAAGTTTATTTAATCCCTGAACCTGGATCCAAGGCATCTCCCTGTAGAAAACATCAGACCGGGGCAGAGATTGACAAAGCAACCCAAAGCAGCAGCTGCCAACGGCCGCTGTGCCCACCTCATCAGCAGCTAAAGAGTATAATTTTAAAAAAAGTCACAGAAGAATGTGGAGACACTTAGCAAAACGGACTCTCATAAGGTAAGTTTAAAGAAAGATTTCAGGTGCCAACGATATTGTGTATGTCTGAAAGCCTTCTGTAATGATCATTATGGCACAGTTCTCAGGTGTAACAAAGGGTCAGAGATTACACCTCCTTGCTCCTAGCATAAAAATAACAACCACAGATTTTGTTGTAGAACACACCAGTGCCTAATACCTCATTCGGTCAATTACTTGCTACATTTCTGAGCTTCAGCTTCTTCATCTGTGGTGCAGGGGTAATCATATCTACCTCAGTCTACTGGAATGTCAGCTCTACAAGGGCAGGGACTTTGGCCTCTTTTGTTTATTACTGTGTCTCCATCACTTAGAACATGGTAAGCACTATGGATGTTACCTTATATAGGAAGTACTTACCTGGCCCATGGTAAGTACTCAATAAATATTAATAGTTGTGGAATTTGTTTTGTAAATGAAGGTAGCTATTCATCTCCCAATCACCATTTTTTTTCCTAATTTTAATGAAGATCCACAGTAGAGTCAAGGAGATATTGGACCAGGTCCACTGGTTTACTCTTTGCTTCTCAATCCTGACCAATTTCACCTTTTTGTCTTTCAAGTATGTATTTCAAAGGTACATAGTGTCCTCGTGTATTTAGTAAAAATGGCTCCATTACACAAGACACAGGCAAAAGGCAATGGACAGACCATGCTCATGATGCTTCCCCGTGTATATCCATGTGGTCTGCCATGCTGCAATGTCCTTCCCCGTTGAGAAATTTGCAAGGATCTGAAGACTCAGGTCTGTATATAGAAAGGGTATCATCAAATATGCTTACTTTTTCTGTTTTTCAATGTTTGGAGTCTCTGTTTTTATAAGTGTACAGTTATTCTGAAAACAACCTTTTCCCAAATTGTCAGAGAAAAAACTGTGACTATGCTAGAGTAGTTCATCCATCAAGCTACATCCTTTAAGTACTTTCTCATCTAAAGGATTGACAGATTGCACATTTCACTGGAAAGCTGTCACACAAATATTTCCCTGGAGAGTTGGTAGCTCCAGAGCTTGAGAGTCGGATCTCAGAACGGCAAATACCTCATTGAGAACTAGCTCTAACACCAAATGCAGTTCTCCCGACTGGCCACTTGGTGGCAGTGCCAACTAAGTGCCAGCTCAAGCCATTAGATTGCACACAGGCATGTGATTCCTAACTTCTATTTATTCATTCAAATTTTAGGACCTACAAGTGGTTTTTGGTCAATCACATGGGCTAAGGCAAACTTTGCTTACTGACAAAGAGACTACATGACAATTTTAAAATACATTTCTTACCCTAATTTATGACATTATGTTAGGCCCCCAGTTAGGATACACCTGAAAAGGTGAATAATGGCAATTTCCTCAGTGTCTTTTAATAATCTCTATCTTGACATTATACATAGGTCAAACATAATCCAGGTCCTATCCCAGAACTGGTTATTACCCTGAACTTCTCCACCTCATAAATCTTAAACTCTGTTCTCTGACCACAAACATCTATCTCTCCCTCTTTGCTGTTACAGCAAAGGTGTGCTTTCTCAGAGATCACAGTCTCTTGAGCCCTTCTCTTTTTTCCTGTTTTCCATGTTCCATAGTCCATCCTGCAACCCTTCTGTGTTAGGGTTCTCCTGAGAAACAGAATGAATAGAATGTAGATGGTAGATACATAGATTAGATTAGAGCTAGATAGATATAGAGATAGATAAAGACTTATCATAGAAATTGGCTCATATAATGATTGTGGAGACTGAAAAGCCCCACGGTCTGGCATCTGCAAGCTGGGAACCAGGAGAACTGGTGGTGTAACTCCTGGTCTAATTCCTTAAGTCCGGAGAACCAGGAGCTCCAATGTCCAGGGGCAGGAGAAGACAGATGCCCCAGCTCAAACGGGGACAGTGAATTCACCATTAGTCCACCTATTTGTTCTGTGCAAGCCCTCAATGAATGGGATAATGTCCACCTGCATTGGTGAGGGCATGGGCTCACTGCTGCACCTCTTTTGCTGTGAAGTGAGTTTCTGGATCAGAAACAATGCTGTGTGGAAAACCATGATGGTGGATAAGGCATTCTGTGAATCCACAGATGACAGTTTTGGCAGAGAAGCATTGCAGGTGAGAAAAGCAAGTTTGTATCCAAAGTAAGTTTCTATTTTAGTATGGACAAAACACTGCCCCTTCCATGATGGAACTGGTTCAGTGAAATCAACTTGCCTCCAGGTAGCTGGATGATAACCATGGGGAATGGTGTCATATTGGTGTTCAGTGTTGGTTTCTGCTGCTGGCAGATTGGGCACTCAACTGTGGCCATATCCAAGTTGACTTTGGTGAGTAGAAGTCCATGTTGCCGAGCTCATGCATAACCACCATCTCTGCCATCATGGCTACTTTGTTAATGAGCCCATTGGCCAATGACAGAAGTGGCAGGAAAGAAAGAGACTGACTGGTATCCACAGGACAGGTCATTCTATCTACTTGATTATTAAAATTCTCCTTTGCAGAGGTTACTCTTTGGCAGGCTTTCACATGGGACACAAATACCTTCATTTTTTTGTTTGTTTGTTTTTGTTTTACTCATTCAGAGATGTTTCCTCTCTGTGTGTTGGCTCATTCTTTCCCAGGCTCCTTTGACAACCCTTTAAGTGTTGCTGGAATTCTTCCTTAGACTTATTTTCTCTCTATACAACCCCATGTGACCTCTTTTATGGCTTCAATTATCAATTATATACTGAAGAATATACTCCTGAAACAATATCTCTAGGCAGCTTGTCTAAACCTGAACTCCCCATTCCTTCATGTTTTCTACCAAGTCTTTTATTTTATTTTTTTAGATGAAGTCTTGCTCTATTGCCCAGGCTAGAGTGCAGTGGCATGATCTCAGCTCACTGCAACCTTTGCCTCCTGGGTTCAAGTGATTCTCGTGCCTCAGCCTCCCAAGTAGCTGGGATTACAGGAGTGCACCACCACACCCTGCTAACTTTTGTATTTTTTTGTAGAGATGGGGTTTTGTCATGTTGGCCAGGCTGGTCTCGAACTCCTGGCCTCAACTGATCCGCCCACCTCGGCCTCCCAAAGTGCTGAGATTACAGTTATTTACCAAGTCTTCTCATCCTTTATTCTTCATCTCATTAATGGTTCTGTTAACCACCTCGTTATCAAATTGGAAACCTAGAAGTCATGCTTTACTCCCTCTCTCTCACTTCACACATCTATGTAGGCACCAAATTCAGTTAAATGTAGTACCTTTACATCTACTGAGATAGTTCACTTCTCCATCTCCATAGCCACTGTCTTAACTCAGGCTGTCTTCATTTTCCCCCATAAATTACTGAATAAGTTGCTCATTCCTTGTCCCAACAAACCAATTCTCCAAACTCCTGCAAGAGGGAATTTCAAACAGGAAGATCTGATTTGCTTAAATTCATTTTTGGTTTTTCATATTGTTCAGCATAAACTCCTAAGCATAAAGTTTTGGAAATGCATTCTGAAAAAGTGAAACAAATGACAACTTTCTGAAGCTATTGGAAACTTAGATAAAATGTTTAACATTACAGAGAAAGTATTTGTTTTGTGGTAATGACATGAATTTAAATTTTGGTGGAGCAAGGCTTTGTGGTAAATATAACATTTGTATTAATATAAAAATCTATGGAGAAGAAATAAATTTGAAGCTGTTTGTCATGTACGGATAAACCATAATTGTATTCAAACAAACTATGATATCATATCTGTTAAAATAGAGTCTGTAGTTGTTGCAGTTTAAAGAGTTTAACATATCTTACATGGTTAATGTCATAAAATATTTGCTATGAAGTTGATGTTGAATAATAAAACAAGCTTTGACATGGCAAATTGCACTTTATCTCTTTTCTTCCCATCATCAATTGAATTTACAAGTGTTTTAGCCTTTGAAGAACTACTTTGCAAATCAATGTTAATGTTCTACAACAGCGTTCAACTTTTTGTAAATGAGCTTTTTAACCTTTTAGTATATTAAAAAGTCAACTGTACATCTATCAATCATTAAACCATTCTGTGAATGTAATGCCAAAAAGTCAGCTTTGGCAGCATTTACTGAGTTGAAATTATTAAAAAGAAAGCCTGCACCCAGATCCCAGATGTTGCTTTCTAAATATCATTCTCCAATAAAAGCAACCAGGGGTCCTTAGAGAAATGGTTGATGTCAGCAACTCTCAGTTTCGGCTAGGATTGGAACAGGGAAAATATAAGATGAGCTTGAAGCATTTGTAGCCCCAGGAAGCAAGGAAGAACCCCTAAAACAAAGGATAAAGGCATGCCGAAGGGACTAAAGAGCCAACCTGAAAGAGCTCCCAGTGGCCACATTGGAATAATTTGAAAAACAAAATAATAATAATGTTGGATTATTACTGAAAGCATAGTATGATTATACATGAATCTGCACTGAATACATATATACAGTTCCCCTGGAATGGAAGTATAATTCCCTCCTCCTTGAGTATGGGCTGGGCTTCATGATTTTCTTCCAAAAATAGAGCATGAAAAGGAAGAAAAATAATAACTTTATTGTAGAGAAACCTGGCAAACACTACCTTCAGCAAGTGATCATGGTTAACATCACTAGTGCTATGGTATGTTGACACCATGTGATGAGGAAGGCATTTCACCTTTGTGGTATTCTCCCAATCCCATAACTCCAGTGCACCATAAGAAAAACATCAAACAAAAATCAAAGAACATTTTATAACATATCTGACCAGTACTCTTCAAAACTATCAAGGTCATCAAAAATAAAGACAGACTAAGATGAGACTAAGGAGATATGATGACTAAATGTAATGAGGTATCCTGGATGAGATCCTGGAACAGAAAAAGGACGTTAGGGAAAAACTAATGAAATCAGAATAAAGGGTGGAATTTAGTTAATAGCAATGTACCAGTGTCGATTTCTTAGTTATGACAAGTGTACCATGGTTAAAGCATGATGTTAACAAAAGGAGAAACAGGGTGAAGGATATACAGGAATTCTTTGTACTACTTTTACAGTTTTTATGTAACTCTAAAATTATTCTAAAAGAAAAAGTTGATTTAAAAAAGAAAGCCTATAATATTGAAAATGTTAAATGCATTAATCCAGAATTTTGGGAGGCCAAGGTGGAAGGATCACTTGAGCCCAGGAGTTGGAGACCAGCCTGAGCAACATAGGGAGATGCCATCTCTACAAAAAAATTTTAAAAATTACCCAGGCGTGGTGGTGCACACCTGTGGTCCCAGCTATTCAGGCAGCTGAGGTGGGAGGATCACTTGAGCCTGGGAGGTCAAGGCTGCAGCAAGCCGAGATCACATCACTGCATTCCAGGCTGGGTGACAGAGCGAGACCCTGTCTCAAAAACAAAAACCAAAAAACCTTATTTCTACAAAACCAAGGAGAAACTGAAGAAATTATGGGGAACTCAAACAGTGTGTACAGGAATAAATTTTGAGTATCTTGACTTGTAGAAAGAATATTTTGATGGAGCTCCAATTTTTAATTTGATAATTTATATTGACGTCTGGAATTGAAAGATATTGAGAACTCTTAGATTTTGCAGGATTTATATTTGGCAAAAAATTCAAAAGTATATAAATTCAGGCTATGTTTTTTTAGAAGTTCTTTTTTTCCTACAAAATAATTTGTCAAAGAAGTTGTACTCTGAAGGAAAGCAAAAAGCAGTGCTTGTGACAATATTGGGGTAAAATATTTATACATTTCAATTAGAAGAAATTAGATTTGAGACTATTCTTCATAACTGGCTCCGAGTTTGCCAGGAACCTCAGTGCCTATGGAGAGAACATACTATCAAATAAAAAAATAGAGAAGTATCAATTTCGGATGTTAACAATTTCAAATGTATTAACCACCAAAATAACACTTTGCAGACTACAATTTGATGAACAAATTAAAAATAATAAGATGCTTATTGAAAAAACTGCACTCTTCAAGAAAATACTAGTAACATATTAGAGACAGATGCAGCTAAGCAACTGAATATGCATCACAGTCATTGTTTTGTTTATTTCATTTTTAAAGCATTCAGGTAGTCAATATAACAAAATAATTTTAAAAATTGTTTAAGGTGCATGAATGTATGTTATTTTCAATTTTTAGAAGTAATTTTATTTTTTAAAAGTTTTTAATAGAACTGCCAATGTAATACAATAGGACCAATATAGTAAAAACACAATTTGTTGCTCGATAAATATTTTAATTATGTAATTTTCATGATTGTGTTAGCATATTCTCTTTCACTCTCAAACACACTTTCACGTGGATAAATTCACTTAACATAAAGATATCCTTGAGCAGCCTGCAGACAGGCAACAGTTTCTTATTCATTGTTGTACCTTCAGCATCTAGCATGGGGATATTTAATACATGTTTATTGAAGGGATGAATAAATCAATGTACGTTTTGCCCTGCAGAGTGTTCGATGGTGCTGCTACTAATGAAAGGTAAGCAGTAGCAAAGCTTGACATGAATGCTTTTCCTTTTAGCAGCATGTGGACCTTTAACACCTGGGTGAACCCTAAACAGGTGGTGCATGGTGGAAACCCAGGTGCAGAGCGGAGTGCCTCATTCGTCTCTCACAGCTGCTCCCTCCTTTTGGGGTTCCTATAGCCTCAACTTTTTTTCTTTTGAAGCTTTTAAAATCTACCAAAAAATTGAAAGAAGAATATAGGTAACACCCATGTTTCTTTCACTTCAGAAAATTAATAATTTTATACTGTCAAACATGCACTTAAATTTTCCTAATTGTCCCCCAGATATTATTTTTAGCTGCTTTAAACCTGTATCCAATGAAGTTTCAGGCATTGCATTTGTCTGTGTCTCTTTTATCTCTTTTAATCTAGAACAGTCCCTGCCTTCTTTTGTTCATTTTTCACATCCCTGGCTTTTTCAACAAGTCTTGCGGACTGGCCTTTTGTCTACTCTTTAGTTTTTAAAATGTTATAAAGTGAATTAAGAACATGTGGTCAAGTTCCCTTTTACTAGACAAGGATGATTTAGAGAGATGGGCTTTTAGGCAAAAATGCCAGTCAGAGAATGAGGAGAGATTTCATTTAACATACAAGACTTAGGGGCTCCTTTCCATATAGTCAAGGAAAAAAATCCAGCTATTTCACTGAAGAAGTAATCATTTAGAATTCATTGATAATTACTCCTCAAAAATATTAGGTAAAATTTTCATCGAGCAATTTCTGAAGCACAATAACTACATTTGAAAAGAAATATTTTACATATTTAAGGCATTATTTTAATTTAGGTTTTTCCACATACATTATATGTGAGTACATTTAAAGTTAAATGACCTGCTACCACATGTTAATTATTATTTGTGCTAATAAACAACAAAATAGGGTGATAAAGAGGTATTTTAAATTGTATTCCATTTTTCTATACACTCTTGCTAGGAAATTAACTGTGCATTTTTTGGGGGGGGCAGGGAATAAAGCAGGCTTAGGCACCAATCCAAATCGATTCTCCTTTCATTAAAACAGACTGATTTGTTGCATTGAATCAATGAATAGCAGTTACTAGGTGCTGAGAAGAGATAAAAGATAGCAAATATATATAGTATAAATAAGAGAAACATGCTGATACATGTTCTTTTACTTTCCACTTTTTGGTATATACCAAATATTTTATATTTGATAGGTATATATAGTGTACATATATATATATATATCCTATATATCTATATAGCATACATATATCTATATATGTATCTATATATCTATATATATCCTATATATCTATATAGCATATATATCTATATAGCATATATATGCTATATAGATATATATAGGATACTATTATAAATGCTTCATTATCCATGGCCTTAAGTCTTCTTTCAGAATTTGTACAGAAAATGGTAGGCACTCAATAAATGCTTTTCGCACAAATGAACTCGAATTTGTTCCATGCATATTGCTATTTTCAAATTGATGTCACACATGGTCTGAGTGAATTTCATCTGCATTGAAATGTGGAGGAAGCGCTTGACAGATGACAGTGTGAGGCCCTGCAGGGTGAGAAGAAAAGCTGTGCCAGCCTGATGGAGAATACTGTGACCTTAAGGCTGCCCTTGAAAGACAGCGGGATTGTGTGGCTCACACAGCACCCCCAGCACATCCGTGCTGGGGTGGTGGGTCCCAGGATGTGCACAGGAGTAGAAAACAATAACTACATTAGCATTCAGAGCCATCCACACCAAATCGCTGCCTCCTCCAATGTCATCTGCAGATGGGAAATCTGGGGATTTTTAGATGGTTTTTATGACAATTATAATGCCACTTACATGCGCATCCTTCTCTAAAACACTGCTCATGAAGTAACTACCTAACCTATTATGCTGTTGTTAGAGGAGGAAAAAAATTAAAATTACTCCATTTCTTTGTTTACATGGAAGTCTTACCGTGTAGCATATATTTGCATACATTTAGATAAAATGTATCCCTTCTGGCTCCAAACAGTGTTGAATCAGTCCCTTCACCTCTCTGAGATTTAGTTTCCTCATAAGTAGAGAATGAGTAAAAATATTCACTATGTTTATCCCTCAGAGTTGCTGAAAAATCAAATGAGAAAATGAATGTGTATGAAAGTAAAAAAAAAATGTGTTATTACTACTATTACCTGTCTCTTCAGCTCATATGTTTGTATATGACTCACATCCATGGATGGAGAAAGGATGAAAGTTTATTCACTAGGGTCAGAACATCTCCCAAGAATGGCCTGGGACGCTTTGAAGTCAGGAAAGAGGGTGGCTCTATCGGCTTCTTAAAGTTTTCTCACTCTCTCTATATCCACCAAAACCCAGTTCAGTATTTTCCTGTCCAACTTAGTGGTGCTGTGCATCCCCACCCAGAAAACATTATGAGGTGGTGGAAAGACTCCAAAAACAAATAAAACAGCAGGGATGGAATTTCGATTCCACCTTTGTGTTAGTTCGTTCTCATGCTGCTATAAAGACATACCTGAGACTGGTAATTTATAAAGAAAAGAGGTTTAATTGGCTCACAGTTTCACCGGCTGTGTAGGAGGCATGGCTGGGGAGGCCCCAGGAAACTTACAATCATGGCAGAAGGCGAAGAGGAAGGAGGCACGTTCTACATGGCTTGAGCAGGAGAAAGAGAGTGAAGGGGGAGGTGCTACACACTTTCAAACAACCAGATCTCTTGAGAACTCACTGGCTATCATGAGAACAGCAATGAGGAAATCTACCCTTGTGATCCAGTCACCTCCCACCTGGTCCCTCCGCTAACATTGGAGATTACAATTCAGTATGAGATTTGGGTGAGGACACAGAGCAAAATCATATCAATATTTAATTTGGTGTGTGACCTGGTACACACTACTGAATCTTTCCAAGTCTTATTTTTCCTATTTGTGTAACAATCTTAGTATTGTTAGTCAGTTGTGTAACATAGAATGTGTGAAGCAATACATAGGGGGCTTTTAGAAAATAGTTTACTTTGCTCAAAATCGGCAGCCCACACACCTTGAATTTCCTCATTTTAGTATTCAAATTAATGAGACAATGTATGCAAACTCCAGCAAGGAGCTTGGCATGTGGGATGTAATTAATTCATTCAGGCTTCAGCCTTGTAATGGTAACATAGTGAGATGGGG
This sequence comes from Homo sapiens, assembly GCF_000001405.40. Lineage (NCBI taxonomy): Eukaryota > Metazoa > Chordata > Mammalia > Primates > Hominidae > Homo > Homo sapiens. Next base: position 100,010,643 of record NC_000006.12, read on the forward strand.
CTGGAGGAGGAAAATCAAAGGAGTCTGTGGCTCAGACAGAGACCTAGGTCATGAGGAAAATAACCTGTGCTGTGTGTAATAGGGCTGAATTGAGTCTGCTTGACCAAGAATTTCTTAGTAAAACCCACATTCTATTTTTCTTTGTTTTAAAGATACAGCAAGTGCCAATCGTTAAGTTTTTCATGCCTGACTTGTCTGTTGACACTGCTGCCTAGAAGGGACTTGGACTAGCAAGTGCAGAAGCTTTTTCTCTGGTGTCAGTAGGCTGGAACATAGGCTTGCCATTCATTGCTCTCCTGATCTTTATTTGGCCTGAAAGAGGAACTAGAGTAGATGTGGGAGAGATACAGTGTTTTCTAACCTGTTTTTTCATACTTAAAAATTTAGCATAAATGCTCAAGTCCCAATCTGGCAGTAAGTCTTCTTGTCCCTGCCTTCAAAATATATTGTCTATTCACTTCTTTCCACCTCCACTGCCACCAGCCCAGGTCAAGTCATTATTATTTTTTAAATTATTATTATTATTTTTTTGATACAGAGTCTTGGTCTTCCGCCCAGGCTAGAGTGCAATGGCGTGATCTCTGCTCACTGCAACCTCTAGCTCCCAGGTTCAAGCAATTCTCCTGCCTCAGCTTCCCAAGTAGCTGGGATTACAGGTGCCTGCCACCATGCCTGGCTAATTTTTTGTATTTTTAGTAGAGACGGGTTTTTGCCATGTTGGCCAGGCTGCTCTTGAACTCCTGACCTCAGATGATCCACCTGCCTCAGCCTCCCAAAGTGCTGGGAATATAGGTGTGGGCCAACGTGCCTGGCCCACTCTGACAACTGTGTCAAAAGTATTCTATCTGATTCTGCTTTTTATTTATTTATTTTTTTTTTTTTTTGCCATTCCTCCCTGTAGTAGACATGGTGATTGTGTTGACAGCCTCCAGTCAACTCTCTGTATTGTGGCAGCTGTGTGGTTTGTGTGGGATTGACCCCACCACCATCTCTAGGGAAAACCCTGATGGCGTAAAGCCTATCAGGAAAATCCATGTGCTGTTGTTGCAGCACTTGTTTCAGACAACCCAGGACTAACCCAAGCAGCTCCTGATATTTATCTGGCCAAAGGATTGGTTCAAGGTAGTTCAATTGTGCAAATCTTAGGGCATTTGTCAAATGGATAGAGGGAGCCATCCTGTTCTCTCCTCCTGGATGTGAAGGAGAAAGCATGATGTGGTGTACAGACTGGTAGCCATTTTGCCCAGGCAGCCTGAGAAAGAAGCCACCAAGTAGGAGGCAAAGCCACTGGAGTCTCAGAGAAGTGGAGTAAAATCCCCAACTAAACCACGCCTAAATCCCTTTCTTCCTTTGAACTTTCAGTAACATGGGCCAATAAATCCCTTCTAAGTCATTTTTGCATTCTTATAATGGTTCCTAATGGCTTTATTCTCTACACTATAGACAAAGTGATCTTTTCAAAACATAAATCAGACTATGTTACACCCTTGCTTAAAATTCTCTGCTAAGAATTTAAGATACAGTATAACTTCTTAATTAAATTGGACATGACACTATATAATGAGATGTTAACTTCTCTGACCTCTGTGGCTGCCACCTACCCTTTCTCTCACTACACTGCAGATACCCGTGAATTCTTTCTATGCCTCAAATTCATCAGGTTTATTCTAATCTCAGATTTACACTTGCTGTTTCCTCTGCCTAGAATGCTCTTCCTTCAGATCTTAAATTGCTGATATCCTCTTCTCATTCAGGTCTCAACTCAAATATTGCTTCCTCACAGAACTTTTCCCTAGCTACTCAATTTCATTTTTCTTCTGATCAATGCCACCCTGTATACTACTAACCTGTTTAGTTTTGTTCATAGCAGCATTTGGTATCTAAAATAATCTTATTTCCTTTTTTTAGTGTCTCCCCACTAAAATAGAAGCTTCTGGTGAGAGAAGACCTTATCTTTCTTCTTCATCCTGTATCTTATTGTCTAGGGCAGTTCTTGGAACCATAGTAAATAGTAAATAAATATTTGATGAATTAATGAAAGTCACTAAATATAAGATATTTTTAATACTCTATTATATGAATGTCCCATTTATTTTTTATTAACTTTTGATAAGTCCTTATGTTGAATTCAATTTTCCAGATCAGCAAAGGACCCGGTGGTCTCCAAAAATAGTTTTAAGTCTGGTATCCTGTATGTCTGAATAAGAGAATACCAGGAACCCATCTCTCCTACGCTTTCCAGTCCTTTGGTCTGCTCTTCTTCATTAGGTTCAATCTCCCTTTGGCTGATGTGAGCTCATTTGCATAGAGTATAATTTGGATAGTGCTCCTGGAGTTTTTCAGGGCCTAGGTTCAGATCTGATCTTGCCTTCTAATTGGTTGGTTCCCTCCCCTGGGCTGGATATGTTTTCTTCATGTTAGCCACTATGTGGCCTGAATGTGGGTCCAAACTACCAAATCACTGGACCACCATGAATCATGAGTTGCTTGTTTTTCATACAGCTAAGGGCTAGAGGAACCTGCTGCTTTGTCTAACTCAGTAGATGGGCATCTCTTAGACTGTGTTGCCTACCTACAGAAAGTTAGAATGTGTCACCTATTCAGCCCATCACAGGCAATACACACAGGAGCTTCCTCCACTCCCCTGCCATCTTCCACCCATGAATCTTTTCAATTTAATTTTATTTTTTTGAGATGGAGTCTCACTCTGTCACCCAGGCTGGAGTGCAATGGTGCGATCTCGGCTCACTGCAACCTCTGCCTCCTAGGTTCAGGCGATTCTCTTGCCTCAGCCTCCCGTGTAGCTGGGATTACAGGCACCCGCCACCACACCCAGCTAATTTTTGTATTTTTAGTAGAGATGGAGTTTCATCATGTTGGCCAGGCTGGTCTTGAACTTCTGACCTCTGGTGATCTGCCTGCCTCGACCTCCCAAAGTACACCTATGAATCTTATTGGGTAGTTTCTCTTTTTCTCCTTGAGCCAGTTGTGGAGGAGCCAGCATGACTTGTGGCTGATCCTACTTTCACCTTAGAAAGATCTTGGCCACTTTCCTCCAGGGTATTCTTGACTGTTTTCCTTCCGGGCACTCTTAACCATTCTCCTCTGAGCTGCATTGTCATCAAAGGGGACAGAAGGATAAATAACCAGTCAGTGTAGGAAAGTGGATTATGGAGTGAAGGAACACTTCAGTTGTGAAAGAGTTAAATCCAAGAGATAGGACAGCTATATTTTCTGTTAACTATGGACATAAAGTGAAGACAAATAACACAACTATTTAGCTGTACTTCCCATTCAACCCCCTGGTTTGCCTTTGTCTTTCCTGTCATTCACATGTGGAGTTGCAGCAGACCAGAGATTACTGGGAGCAGGCAAAGTGACAAAGTGGAGTATCTCTCAGTTCAGAATGTACTGTCTCTTACACCACAGAGGATTTATATTGTAATGTGCAATTGAGAGACCTAAGGGTGTCTTACAGATGAAATGTTGTCATTTAGGAAAAGAAGTAATGCTGTGCAAAAGAAAGTGGGCTGACTTGTAATTTAGAATTTCAAACACTCAGATCTGTTTTTTTTTTGATAATGGAACTGATAAACGTTATTTTGTCTACACCTTTCCTTTTAGATATCTCCATCATTTATTCTGATTTTTAATAACAAAGGAAAAATCCTTTAGATGTAAGACTTTAGTGACCACCATGTTTTAGATTAATCAAAGGTTTGGGGACCAAGTCGGCAAAAAGTGCCATCACCTTAAATCTCCTTGCTCTTCCCATTACTCTTACAGGATTTCAAAGGGGTATTACCACCTGTAAGAGGCCTTGGCTGAGGGGTCCTGCTCCAATTACTTCCAGGATGACCCTGGCACCAAAATTCTTGTGGCTCTGAGCCTCACTTCATACACATGTGAAACAAAAATCACTAAAAACCTTTTTAACTGTTCTATGATTCTAACTCTATTTGTGGCTTTGTTTGGGAATAACTCAGAAACCAGGCGGAAGTGTTAATAAATGCCTTTCTGTTCTAAACCAAAAAGTATCTGTGACAGGTCTCAATCAGTTTAGAAGTTTATTTTGCCAAGGTTAAGGACATGCCTGGAAGAAAAGAACATAACATCGCAGAAACAGTCTGTGATTTGTGCCTTTCTCCAAAGATGATTCTGAGGGCTTCAGTAATTAAAGGGGAAAAGCAGGCTGGAGAGAAAGAGGAGGGGTACAGTAATCCACATGTTGTTAGAGAAAAGAAGCAGACAGGGGAATCGTGAATTATGTAATAGTCTCATGCTCAGTAAATCGGCACTTTACATAAGATAAGGTGAACATAGAATAGCTACCTGTGCAGATATTTAACCTTTTATCTGTAGCTAACTGCTTAGGAACAATAGGAAAGGCAGTTTTTTTGCATGACAGCTTTTGGCTTAATTCTTTCCTTTTGGCATAGTGAATTGGGGTCCCAAGTTTTTTTCCTTTCACACTGCTTACACCCTACCAAAAAGTCCAAATGCAAATAGACATCTCATCTGAAACTCTGTCTTTATGGGAGTACCCAGTAAGTCACAACCAGAGTTCTAGAATCAGGTTAGTCCTTAGAATACTACTGATTGAATTTCTCTCACGAGTTTGTGGTTTGGCCATTCTGATAGATAAGAGAAAATAGTTTCTTTTTACTAAGAAATCTTCTAGACCTATACAGTTCTAATTTATGAACTGTCACAGTATAGGACAAAGAGTGGGGTTTAAGATAATAATGAAAAGTATAAACAAGTCATGGGGGGTTTATAAATCTTGTAAAGAGAATTTTGTGTGTAATTGGGTTGGCTGGGATTAGAAGGGAATTGCTTGTAAGTTTTTCTAAGAACTGGGCATTAATGTCAGGAGTGTGCTGATACAGGACCAGAATCTGATTCTCTGTGTTTGAAGCAACAAGGTTTTCCTAGAATGTTGATCAACTCTTAGTAAAAAAAAAATTGCAAGAGGTTTGGATTTTAATTCTCAAATCCATTTCTTTAAATTTTCAACCATCTTGTGACCTACAGCTTTTCCATGTTTTACAGCTTCTACCTAATTTCAAGTTAGAAGTGCTGTTTTCACTTAAAATGATAATTACATTTTTTGAGTAGACTTTTCCTCTTAAAGCCTTTCAGATTCATATGCCTAGGGTTTGGCTTTTTACTGCATCTCACTACGTGTGATTTGCAGGTCATGCATCATTGCTTTCTGCTTTTCTTCCTTAGCTCCTTGAAAATAGGATACATATTTTGCTTAACTAGAGTGGTTACTTTATTCCTTAACCTTTTCATCCATTTCTGTAGCCTTTTTCCAGGTTTGACTCTGCTATTGTGGTCTAACACTAAGAAAGTTTGTCTTAAAGGACTAATAAAACAATATCTCTTCCATTATAACTTGATTCTACACTCTTGGCTTTTCCTGATGCCTCTAAATTGTTCCATGTAAACAGATAATTTCACACACTTTTACTTTTTCTCAAAGCTATAGATTCCCCTGCTCAAGGTAATGGTTCTCTTGTTTACGTTGTTATTTTATAATAGGGTGTACACTCATAATCATGGACATACACTCTTTCAGTGTCCAATTTAATTGAAATACCTTTTCAACAGGTTTCTACTTCAAGGTTATCTAAATGGGCTTCCAATAAAGAGAAGCACTAATACTGCAGGAGGTGTGTGTGTGTATGTGCGCATGTGGTTGTTTTTTAACGTTTTAAGTAATAAGCCTAAGAAACAGGATTTTTTTTTGTTTTATTCATATAGTTTCTTGTGCTTTCTGCTGTCCTTATTAGGTTTTTGATTACTTAGAAAAGCTGAATCATCTCTAATTAGTGATGCTAAATCTTTCTTAAAATTTATTTATGTAGATGTGTTGATGTTTTAAAAATTATGTAAAATTTATAAAGGTCTGATAGTCCTTTTGTGACACTGTCAGTCGTAATTCTGGTCATCTTAAAATATGGTAGAAGTGACTAAATTTCCTTGTGTTAGTAACAAAAAATTCTCATCAGATTTTTAACCATGGCTATTTTAAGTTTTTGTCATTTACGATTTTGATTTTTCTCTAAAGGCATCTTCAATCAGATTCATAGAAAATACTCTAACAAGTACTTTTGAATACAGTTTCTGATAACTTTAAAATCAATGCATGAAGTAAAAATGTCCAAAATGCTTATAAAAAATAATTGAGGAGTTCATGAAACTGCTAACCAAGATCAGACAAAGCAAGAATTAATTATATGGACTAAACTGATAAAGGAATATGATTTTTATAATATTTATTTAAAATATTTATGGTTCTTTAATGAATTGTGGTTCTTTATTTTTCAGATTTGAGGAAACTCCTAAGGTCCCTCCAGTGTACAACAATTTGGTAAAATATACTGTGAACAGAATTAAAATATTTGCCTTTTCTCTCTATCTGGTCCCTTCAAAATTCAAAAACTATTTGTGGCTATATTTATTTTATGACCACATATTTATTTACATAAGTTCAATACAAATATTTTCTTTATAACAAGATATAATTTAGAATAGTAGCAAGATTTAACTAGGTTGTCATATTTAAAGTTGTTTGTAGATACTATGCTATGGAATTGTATATTTTAAACCAGTTAATTTTATGGGATATAAATTATAATCACAAAAAAGATTTTTAGAAAACAAAAACCAGTTTATAGGTACTACAGGTAAAACCTAAAGCCCACCTTGACTTGTTTTCCTAGCCTTGAAAATTTTTCTAAGTCCAATATGAAATCTAATCACTATTATTATTATATTTATGTAAATAATAAGACCAAATCTGATAAAATTAGATTTATTTAGAGCAAATTAGTCTTAATCTGATTATATTTGGCAAAAATTGAGATGAATACAATATACTTGTTATTGGCTTACTGTCTGAAACATGTTTTCAAGTTTTATTATCTACCTATAGACTGAACTGGATCCTACATTTTTCTAGCTTCTTCCAATCCAATTTTCTCCCATGGAATTACTAAACAAAAACTTCTTTTCCCTGAAGTCCTTTAATAATATAACTTTTCAATAACACTTCAATGCTCAGACACTGACAAACATTCACAAGCATGGAGACCATCCAGGAAAACATGACCTCACCATGTGAACTCAATAAAGCACCAGTGACCGATCCTGGAGAGACAGATATGTGACCTTTCAGACAGACGACTCAAAATAGCTGTTTGAGGATGCTCAATGAAATTCAAGATAACATAGAGAAGGAATTCAGAATCCTATCAGTTAAATTTAACAAAGAGATTGAAATCATTAAAAAGAATCAAGCAGAAATTCTGGAACTGAAAATTACACTAGACATACTGAAGAATGCATCAGAGTATCTTAACAGCAGAATTGATCAAGCAGAAGAAAGAATTAGTGAACTTGAAGACAGGCTATTTCAAAACACACATTTGGAGGAGACAAAAGAAAAAAGACTAAAAACTATGAAGTATGCCTACAAGAACTAGAAAATAGCCTCAAAAGGGCAAATCTGAGTTGTTGGCCTTAAAAAGGAGGTAGAGAAAGAGAGAGAGGTAGGAAGTTTATTCAAAGGGATAATAATGAATAACTTCCCAAAGCTAGAGAAAGATATGATATTCAAGTTGAAGAATGTTATAGGACACCAAGCAGATTTAACCCAAATAAGACTACCTCAAGGCATTTAATAATCAAATTCCTAAATGTCCTAAATGTCTAAAGAAAGATCCTAAAAGCAGCAAAAGAAAAGAAACAAATAACATATAATGGAGCTCCAATATGTCTGGCAGCAGGCTTTTCAGTGGAAACTTTACAGGCCAGGAGAGAGTGGCATGACGTATTTGAAGTGCTGAAGGAAAAATTTTTTACACAAGTATAATATATCTGGAAAAAATATCCTTCAATCATGAAGGAGAAACAGCTTGGAATCTATGCAAACACATGGAAATTAAACAATATGCTCCGGAATGACCAGTGGGTCAATGAAGAAATTAGGAAAGAAACTTAAAAATTTCTTGAAAAAAAAATGATAATGGAAAAACAATGCACCAAAACCTATTGTATACAGCAAATGCAATACTAAGGAAAGTTTATAGCAATAAGCATCTACATTAAAAAAGTAGAAGAACTTCAAATAAACAACCTGATAATGTGTCTAAAGAACTGAAAAAGCAAGAGCAAACCAAACCTAAAATTAGTAGAAGAAAAGAAATAATAAAGATCAGAGCATAAATAAATGATATTCAAACAAAGAAAACAATAAAAAAATTGATAAAATGAAAAGTTGTTTTTTTGAAAAGATAAACACAATTGACAAAACTTTAGCTAGACTAAGAAAAAAAGAGAGAAGGCCCAAACAAATAAAACCAGAGATGAAAAAGTACAGATTACTGTTGATACCACAAAAGTTTAAAGGATCATTAGAGGCTGATATGAGCAACTATATGCCAAGAAATCGGAAAATCTAGAAGAAATAGATAAATTCTTAGACACATAAAATTACCAAAATTGAACCCTGAAGAAATCCAAAACCTGAACAAAGAACATGTAATGAGATAGAAGCCATAATAAAAAGTCTCCCAGAGAAGAAAAGCCCGGGGCCTACTGAATTCTACCCAACATTTAAAGAAGAACTAATATCAATCCTACTCAAACTATTCTGAAAAATAGTGGAGGAGGGTGTACTTCCAAACTCATTTTACAAGGCCAATTTTACTCTGATACCAAAACCATACAAAGATACATCAATGACATTCTTCGCAGAAATAGAAAAAATAATACTAAAATTTATATGGAATCACAAAAGACTCAGAATAGTTAAAGATAGCCTAAGCAAAAGGAACAAAACTGGAGGAATCACATTACCTGACTTCAAATTATACTACAGAGCTATAGTAACCAAAACAGCATGGGACTGGCATAAACACAGACACATAGACCAATGGAACAGGATAGAGAACCCAGATATAAATTCATACGTCTACAGGGAACTCATTCTCGACAAAGGTGCCAAGAACATACACTGGGGAAAAGACAATCCCTTCAATAAGTGGTTCTGGAAAAACTGGGTATCCATGTGCAGAAGAATGGAGCTAGACCCCTATCTCTCACCATATCAAAAAAAAATCAAAATGGATTAAATACTTAAATCTAAGACCTCAAACTATGAAACTACTACAAGAAACTTTGGGGAAACTCTCCAGGACATTGGTCTAGGCAAAGAATTCTTGAGTAATTATCCTACAAGCACAGGCAACCAAAGCAAAAATGGACAAATGGGATCACATCATGTTAAAAATCTTCTGTGTGGCAAAAGAAACAGTCAACAAAGTGAAGAGACAACCTACATAATGGGAGAAAATATTTGCAGACTACCCATCTGACAAAGGAACAATAACTAGAATATATAAGGAGCTCAAAAAACTCTACAGGAAAAAAAATCTAATAATCTGATTTTAAAATGGGCAAAAGATCTGAATAGACATTTCTCAAAAGAAGACATAGAAATGGCAAACAGGTATATGAAAAGGTGCTCAATATCATTGATCATCAGAGAAATGCAAATCAAAACTGCAATGAGATATCATCTCACCCCAGTTAAAATGGCTTTTATTCAAAAGATAGAATAATGAATGCTGGTTAGGATGTGGAGAAAAGAGAATTGGAGGTAGGAATGTAAATTAGTAAAGCCACTGTGGAGAACAGTTTGGAGGTTCCTCAAAAAACTACCATTATGATCCAGCAATCCCCTGCTAGGTATATCCCAAAAGAAAGGAAATGAGAATGTAGAAGATATGTCTACACTTACATGTTTATTGCAGCACTATTGACAACAGCCAATATTCGGAAACAATCTAAATGTCCATCAATAGATAAATGAATAAAGGAGATGTGTTACGTAAACACAATGGAGTACTATTCTGCCATAAAAAACAATAAGATAGTGTCATTTGCAGCAATATAGATGGAACTGGGACATATTATGTTAAGTGAAATAAGCCAGGCACAGAAAGGCAAACCAACTTCACATGTTCTTACTTATTTGTGGAAACTAAAAATTAAAAACACAGACCTCATGGAGACAAGAGAGTAAAATGATGATCAACATCATTGATCATCAGAGAAATTCGGTGGGTGGGAAGGGTAGTGGATGGTGGGGAAATAGTGCTCATTAGTGGGTAGAAAAATATAGTTAGATAGAATGAATAAGACTTAGTATTTGATAGCACAACAAGATGACTACAGTCAACAACAGTTTATTATACATTTTAAAATAACTAAAATAGTATATTTGTATTTTTGTTAAGAAAAGAAGCTTGAGGTGATGGATACCCCACCTACCCTGATGTGATTATTACACATTGTATGCCTGTATCAAAAAAATATATAGAGAGAGTACATAGGATATTTATATATATGTATTATATATATAATATACTCACAAAAATTAAAAATTAAAACAAATAAAAATAAATAAATTAGAAACTCTTGAGGTGAAAAAAATATCAAATGTCAGCTGTGGAGACTAAAGGCATGTCTCCTGCCTGCCTGTGGTCTGGAGGGTCTGTGCTGAAGTTACAGGCCACCTATTCTGCTCTAGGTAGTTTGGGCAGTTTTATTAGAATAACCCATAATAATAAAATATGTGGTTTTAACTTTAGTAATATAATTATTTATAGCAGAGACTATTAATATTAATTACAATGTCAACAGGTTATTTTTACTAATGACTTTTTTTGAGATCTGAATATTTATAATAGAAATCATTTAGGCAGAGCAACATGTATATAAAAAGATTATTGCATATAAACCATTTGAGCAGTGTTGAGTACATTTGAAAACTCTTCAAATATCTAAAAGCATACAGAACAATGCTTTATAGATACGTCACAGCTCCAGGAAAGCACATAGTCAAAAGCTCGACATTGATAGACTTACTTTTCCATAATTTTTCCAGAAAGTGTCTTGAATTTAAACATAATAAAAATTATATTTTCAAAGTTTTCCACTCTCCTTAATTAACTAGTAAGGCAGTATTCTTTAATGCCCTAAGAAACAAGCACATTTTACACTACACATTTTTGCATATGGCTTTGATAAATTTCTGCATATTGCCTAATTCTGCATATTGCTTTATGAGAGAAATTCTTGTATTTCCCTTTAATTCAGTTAGCAGACATTGACTGAAAAGTATAGAAAATGCACGGCACTGTATTGGTTACAGATGAGTACTTTGACATGGAAACCCTGAGTCCAGACTGACCTGCAACAATCCTAGCACCGCTTATGAATCATTTATAAGCTGGGATGCAAGTAAGGCTGGAGTGAGGTGTGTACTATGTCATAGGTGCTTTTGAGAACCAAGACACATGGAAGGTTATTGCTACTTATATGAAAAGTTTAATAGGAAATTAACAGCTAATACAGTATATAGAAGCTGTATAGGATCAATTTAAAATAGGAATTATCTTACCTAGATTGAAAAAACGGAATACTAATTCTAATGATGCAAAAAATACTACTGCGAAAAACAAAATGAATAGATGACACTCTACAGAGTGTAATAATTTATTGAATATAGACACTAAAGCCTGGAAATGCCAGGTAATGGAGAGGCCAAAGAGCTGAGGTAGAGAGATTAATCTAAAAAAAATGTTCTCTATGTTACTTGGGAAAAATGCTATATTTAATAACTACAAATTAATCTTTGTCCTACTTACAGACTTACACATACATAGCATTGTTCCAGTCATTTCTTATGATGTACAAATGTCTTTGGAGATTTTGAAATGTATCAAGTTTTAATTAGCTTAAGCTATTTAAGGTGTTAGAGTTTAACTAGAATTTTATAAAATTTTATTACATCAGTCTAATTCAGTGTTTACATGCCAATAACCAGATGAAAATTAAAGTATTAAATTATTGGCTTTAATTGCATAATTCAACAGCTGTCATTGGGCACTGACTTATGTCCTCAAGAGGCCTATAGTTTGATGACCTTTGAGTTGTATAAATTGGGACATCCCTGACACTTGCATTCTGGTCTCACTTGTTTACTTCTGAATTTATTACAACTGCAATGGTGGAATTTGGATGAGACTTTTATGAGGGAATAATCTACATATACCCTGGGAAACTGAACAATGATAAAATTTCTGAAGGCATTAATTGCCAACGGACAATGGGTGACCGAGTAGTCAGTGACGTACTGGTGGAGAAGTTGAGGGGGCGAGGTGGTGGGCCAGGATTATGAAAATTCTACATTTGACTACTGCACTGAAGGGAGGAAAAAGGGAGAATGGGAAGCAAGCAAACTGGGGATACTAGCTCATTCAGCCAGGAAGAGGGGTGGAGGCTGTGTTGGTTCCGACTTCTTGAGACAAGGAAGCTCCCTGGGAGGCTGAGTGAAGAGGGAGGGAAGGGAATGTGATGTGGGGGTCAGAACACACATCATGTGGCAGGAAGGCCTGGTCTACCCCATCAGGGAGGAAGGAACCTCTGATAGAAATTTGCCAGATGAAAAGCCCTGATTGATAGATTCCAATACCATTTTTTTTCTTTTTCAGAAAAATAATCATTTCTCCATCTGTCTTATTTTAAAGCATTTAGCAAACATTATTTACTGAAATTTCAAAACATACATTAATGATTATCTTGCGTCCTCAATTGTTTTCTTATTTTGCAAGATAGTTACCTACTCTATGCAAATGTAAAATACAGATTTTATTACGTGTAAAAAATTCTGTTTAGAGTATAAGCAAATAGGGAAATTAAGCAGGCCCCATTTTAAAGAATTGGACAATTTGGATTTTCCTGTTTATTTTTTCAATAGTTACCAAAGAAGAGATCCAGTCACCCCTTGGCCAGTGTTTATCGCAAAACTGAATATCTTTTCATTTCTTATGATTCCATCAATATAGAAAGGAGAAATTTAACAGAATAATGTATACCTTTTAGTAGAAAAATGTATTGTTTTATTTTCCAATCATCTTCAATAGTTTAATCCTAATTAATGCCATGTGTTGGTTAAAATAAGTAGATTTTCCTGAAGAATCCCTGATAATCTCAGAGCTCTAGAGTAAAAGGCAAAATCTTTAATACTATAGTAGACATAACTAAAGAATTTTGATTATGGATGCGGTTCTGATATATATACAGCACATCCTGTGTTTATTGACTACAGCAGGTAGTTAAGCATCATTTAGAACCAGTGTTCACATAAAGATTGCTTATTCTTGAATAATGTATATCATTATACACATCTGGCATTTTCCAGGGACAGACCGCATCTATACTTTCTAAGTCCCAGTACACACTGGAATGTTAGAGAAGAAGGGATGCATGGAATGTCTGAATTGTTGGCTAACCCGTGATGTAATTAGTTGGCATTACTTTGAAGTGTTAAACTGTCCTTTGGTTACAGTTGTAGCTAGTGCCATCTGATAGCCTTGAAAAAGACTGTGAGAGCTCTAATTTTTACTTGTAGTGGAAGCAGGCATCACAAACCAGAAGACAATTTATCTTTAAGATAAATAAAAGTGATGTTGGTGAAGGTGGAGGTGAAGGCTGTGGTCAAGGCACAAGGATGAAAGGCACCTATTTCAAAATTTCTTCTTTGGGTTCAGAAATATTGCTTGAATGAAATGTTCTAAAATATTGGAAATAGAAGCAGCATAATTTTCTTGTACTTATCAGAAAAAAGTTAATGTCCTCAGATTGATGTTTATATAAAAATGATTTGAAATCCAATAATAATGGCTACTAGTACTTATTTTCTAGTTTAAAAGTCATCCATGGGAAAAGTAATTTGTATTATGTTTTAAAAATATGTAGCCTAAAGAAATATTGATAATTATATTAAAAATCCTCTTTTAACTCGAAATAAAAGCAGTGCTTAACAGTAGCAAGAAATTCCGCCTTTGGCTAACATGAAGTAGCAGGGACTAAATTTATCCTCACACCTAAAATAACTAGAAAATTGGGAAAAATGTGAAACAATTGTCTTTCAAGAATTCAGACGTCTGACAATGAAGAACAGTAATCATAAAGAGATAGGAAATTGATGTAGCATGATTGCCCCAGCTTACTACCCCTCTCCAGGAGAGTTTCCAGGCCATGGCTCATGGAGGGGGGACCCAGGTGGAGCCCAGCATTATCCCTGGGAAGAGGAGATGGAGCTGGGACTCCAGGCAGGCCAAGGTAGTCAGAGTTTGTGGAGCAGTGGAAATGAGAGAGCTGCACAGCAGAGCACCCTGGAGAGCTGCAGAGGGTCTCTGAATCTTCATCTGAAGACTGATCATCACACACTTGTGAGGAAAAGACCAAGGCTGGGACATGAACCTCTGGAAAGAACTACAAGTAATTATCTTTAGAGATTTCACAGGACCAGGAATAATTCCTATTTTCCCACCAGCCAGAGTAGAAAACCTCATAAATCAAACATTTGTAGGATACTCAGAAGAATTTTTCCTCAGTAGTGGGGCAAAATTAGATCAAAATTAAAAGCTGCTCTGTTCCCACCTAATAAAGCTGAAAAGCAAGATCTGAATGGATCAAACTGTTTCCAAGTAAATTAATTATATCCTACATCAAAGCTCAAGAATATTTATAGGAGTATAAGAACATTCAGCATCCCAAATGTACAATCCACAAATTCTGGCATCCAATAAAAAATTATTAGCATGCAAAAAAGTAGTGGTATACATATTTGAATATAAACCCGTATTGAGAATAACCAATTAATTTGAAACCAAACCAGACCTGACACAGATGTTAGAATTAGCCAACAAGTACATTGAAAGCTATTATAATTGTATTCTATGTGTTTAAAAATTTAAGTGGAGACGGAAGATATAGCGAAGAGCCCAATTAAACATCTAGAGATGCAAACCACAATGTCTAAGGTGAAACTTTATTATAGGCTAAGAATGAAGAAATGTTGTCGGCCTATCAAAATGGAGTTACTGTTAACAAACATTTATGAAAAATATTCACCTCACTACATCAAAGGTGCTAAAACAATGTACCTGCATTTATCAGAAGTAAGTAGAAAGGCCATCCAATTGTTTTTAGATCAGTCCAACCAGAAGTGGATTTCAGTAGATGAGAGTCTCAGGCAGAATGGTAACTGAGACTTTCCCTAATTTCCATTCTTAGATACTGGTTTCACATTTGTTTACCAGTGGGAGAAAAAAAATTATTTTTTAAGTGATAGAAGTTACATATCTCTTTGTATTGAACATTTTAAGTTTATAGTAGCCACGGAATATAAAACATATTTTAATTTATTTCGATAGTCTTTTTTTCTCAGTAGTTATTTCTCAATTATTACTTATAACTGAATAGTGTTAATTACACAGAATCTCTAAAAACAGAGGCAGCCCTGCTGGATACACTCACCACACTTCTACCCCTTGCTCTTTGCTACAGGAGGCTGATGGACTACATCCATGGGGTACTTTGTCCTCTGGCTTCCAATTAGATTCAGACAACAGGAAGCATCAACAGCTAATGGGAGACGAAGAGGAAAAATTGGGGTACCTATTCCCCTAGATTACTCCCTGCTGATTGCTGCAGAGGGGCTTCATCCTTGCCCTGGTTTCTGGAAAACACTCTTTCATTGCCCATGCAGGCCTAGGAGTGATGATGCCTCACTGGATGGCAAAGTCTCTTATTGGTTTCCCTAAATCTTACTCACAACTTGTAGATACTCCCTCTATTAAATCCTTTTCAGTTACCCAGTTTGAGTGTGCAGTCTCTTTCCTGATAGACTTTTACTGATATAGTGTCCTTCTTGACCTTAGTTACAAAGTCATTTTCAAATCAAGTTCATGTCTAAATCATGTTTTCTCTGGCTTCCATGTGTGTAAAACAGTTTCTATATTTTTTTTTTTTTTTTTTTTTTTTTTTGAGACGGAGTCTCGCTGTCGCCCAGGCTGGAGTGCAGTGGCGCAATCTCGGCTCACTGCAGGCTCCGCCCCCTGGGGTTCACGCCATTCTCCTGCCTCAGCCTCCCGAGTAGCTGGGACTACAGGCGCCCGCCACCTCGCCCGGCTAATTTTTTGTATTTTTAGTAGAGACGGGGTTTCACCGTGTTAGCCAGGATGGTCTCGATCTCCTGACCTCGTGATCCGCCCGCCTCGGCCTCCCAAAGTGCTGGGATTACAGGCGTGAGCCACCGCGCCCGGCCGTAAAACAGTTTCTATATTTTTGTGTCTCTTAATCTCTTCAGTTTCTTTTGTGAAACCAGGAAACTTCTGAGAAAGGGTAACAAAGCCTTTTAAATTTTGATTTATATAACAAATAGCCCACTGAATCAACAGTAAACAGGTTTATGCCATGCATTATTTGGTTTCAGAATTTCAATCAACTGCAGCTATTGACTTTAGCCAATATCACGTTGAGTATTCAGCAGAGAGAGTTTAGAGCCACTACCTTCCCTCCCCAACTAAAGAGTGCTACATACTTTGGTAGGAAAGTAACCAATTTACAATTTGTCAGCTTTATGTAAGAAAGTGAATGAAGAAACTAAGTGATGTGAAAGCATAATTTTAATTTATTTAGGTGATGTTTTAGTTCACCTTAAAGGCCTATTCCTTAACTCAGCTTTGACAGGCATTCTTTCTCTAGTTAAAAAACCATTTGGGCTTAAGGTGGAAGTAAGGCAAAGTCTGGCCAATTTTGAGACTTGGTCTTTGGAAAGAGTTTGGGAAAAGAATATAAAATAAATAATGATAGCAAGAGGGGGAATGTCTTAATAAATATAGTCATTAGGATTAAATTGGGAATTCTCTCTCATGTCACAGAAAGGAAACATTAGGATTTCATTGGCTTCATTTTACTCTGAGTATATTTTGCCTATTGAATTAAATTAGCAAAGCAAGAATTCTGGCACCGATGCCTCAGTAACCTTCTCTCTGACAACCATAAGTAATTTTTTTTGTCTGCTTAGTCTTCAGAAATGTTGTTGGTAGATCTGGAATAGCAGTGTGCTGGAGTAAATGTTGTTCAATGTTGAGTAAATTTCAATTAAAGTTAAAAATACAATTCCATAAATTTAAAAAAGTCATCAGCTATCTTGTAAGAATTTTTGATTACGTGTAAACTTGAATAGATATATTAATGACTATTAATGGCATTTAAGATACAAGACTAACCACTTCATACCCATTAGGATGGCTGTTAAGGAAAATAACTAGAAAATGGCAAATATTGGCAGGAATATAGAAAAATTGAAACCCTTGTGAATTGCTAGTGGGAAAATAAACTGGTGCAGCTGCATGGAAAACAGTATGATATTTCCTCAGAAAAGTTAAACAGAATTATTACACAATTAAGCAATTCCCTTTCTGGGTATATGCTCAAAGGAATTGAAAGCAAGGGCTCAAACAGATATCTGCATACCCATGTACATAGTATTATTACTCACAATAGCTAAATGGCAGAACCAACGCATGTGTCCATCAGTGGATGAATGGATAAATATAATGTGATATACATATACAATGAAATGTTATTCAGCCTTAAAAGAGAAGGAAATTCTGACATATGCTACAACATGAACCTTGAAGTCATAATGCTGAGTTAATAAACCACTCACAAAAAGACAAATACTGTATGATATCACTTTTATGAGATACATAGAGTAGTCAAATTCACAGACAGGATGGAATTGTGGTTGCCAGGCACTGGAGGAGAGGAGAATGAGAAGTTAGTGTTTAATTGGTACAGAGCTTCAGTTGGGGAAGATGAAAAGTTCTGGAGATGAATGGCAGTGATGACTATAGAACAATGTGAATTTACTTGATGCCAGTGAACTGTACACTTAAAAATGGTTAAAATGGTATATTTTGTGTAATGTGTATTTTACCACAATAAAAAAGACTAAGCATAGTTTACTGGGGAGAGTTACATATTTTAAGTAAATATTTGGAGTTGGCAATGCTAGGAAAAGAACCTAATGAATGCAGCAACGCTATGTAATGGCCTTCTTTGTCTCTTTTGATCTTTGTTGGTTTAAAGTCTGTTTTATCAGAGACTAGGATTGCAACCCCTGCCTTTTTTTGTTTTTCATTTGCTTGGTAGATCTTCCTCCATCCTTTTATTTTGAGCCTATGTGTGTCTCTGCACGTGAGATGGGTTTCCTGAACACAGCACACTGATGGGTCTTGACTCTTTATCCAATTTGCCAGTCTGTGTCTTTTAATTGGAGCATTTAGTCCATTTACATTTAAAGTTAATATTGTTATGTGTGAATTTGATCCTGTCATTATGATGTTAGCTGGTTATTTTGCTCGTTAGTTGATGCAGTTTCTTCCTAGCCTCGACGGTCTTTACAATTTGGCATGATTTTGCAGTGGCTGGTACCGGTTGTTCCTTTCCATGTTTAGTGCTTCCTTCAGGAGCTCTTTTAGGGCAGGCCTGGTGGTGACAAAATCTCTCAGCATTTGCTTGTCTGTAAAGTATTTTATTTCTCCTTCACTTACGAAGCTTAGTTTGGCTGGATATGAAATTCTGGGTTGAAAATTCTTTTCCTTAAGAATGTTGAATATTGGCCCCCACTCTCTCCTGGCTTGTAGAGTTTCTGCCGAGAGATCCACTGTTAGTCTGATGGGCTTCCCTTTGTGGGTAACCCGACCTTTCTCTCTGGCTGCCCTTAACATTTTTTCCTTCATTTCAACTTTGGTGAATCTGACAATTATGTATCTTGGAGTTGCTCTTCTCGAGGATTATCTTTGTGGCATTCTCTGTATTTCCTGAATCTGAATGTTGGCCTCCCTCGCTAGATTGGGGAAGTTCTCCTGGATAATATCCTGCAGAGTGTTTTCCAACTTGGTTCCATTCTCCCCGTCACTTTCAGGTACACCAATCAGACATAGATTTGGTCTTTTCACATAGTCCCATATTTCTTGGAGGCTTTGTTCGTTTCTTTTTATTCTTTTTTCTCTAAACTTCCCTTCTTGCTTCATTTCATTCATTTCATCTTCCATCACTGATACCCTTTCTTCCAGCTGATCGCATCGGCTCCTGAGGCTTCTGCATTCTTCACGTAGCTCTCGAGCCTTGGCTTTCAGCTCCATCTGCTCCTTTAAGCACTTCTCTGTATTGGTTATTCTAGTTTTACATTCATCTAAATTTTTTTCAAAGTTTTCAACTTCTTTGCCTTTGGTTTGAATTTCCTCCTGATGATTACATAATGATAAAGGTATCAATTCAACAAGAAGAGCTAACTATCCTAAATATGTATGCACCCAATACAGGAGCACCCAGATTCATAAAGCAAGTCCTGAGTGACCTACAAAGAGACTTAGACTCCCACACAATAATAATGGGAGACTTTAACACCCCACTGTCAACATTAGACAGATCAATGAGACAGAAAGTTAACAAGCATACCCAGGAATTGAACTCAGCTCTGCACCAAGTGGACCTAATAGACATCTATAGAACTCTCCACCCCAAATCAACAGAATATACATTTTTTTCAGCACCACACCACACCTATTCCTTCTACCAGAGGTACAAGGAGGAACTGGTACCATTCCTTCTGAAACTATTCCAATCAATAGAAAAAGAGGGAATCCTCCCTAACTCATTTTATGAGGCCAGCATCATCCTGATACCAAAGCCGGGCAGAGGTACAACCAAAAAAGAGAATTTTAGACCAATATCCTTGATGAATATTGATGCAAAAATCCTCCATAAAATACTGGCAAACCGAATCCGGCAGCACATCAAAAAGCTTATCCACCATGATCAAGTGGGCTTCATCCCTGGGATGCAAGGCTGGTTCAACATACGTAAACCAATGAATGTAATCCAGCATATAAACAGAAGCAAAGACAAAAACCACATGATTATCTCAATAGATGCAGAAAAGGCCTTTGACAAAATTCAACAACGCTTCATGCTAAAAACTCTCAATAAATTAGGTATTGATGGGATGTATCTCAAAATAATAAGAGCTATCTATGAAAAACCCACAGCCAATATCATACTGAATGGGCAAAAACTGGAAGCATTCCCTTTGAAAACTGGCACAAGACAGGGATGCCCTCTCTCACCACTCCTATTCAACATAGTGTTGGAAGTTCTGGCCAGGGCAGTTACACAGGAGAAGGAAATAAAGGGTATTCAATTAGGAAAAGAGGAAGTCAAATCGTCCCTGTTTGCAGATGACATGATTGTATATCTGGAAAACCCCATTGTCTCAGCCCAAAATCTCCTTAAGCTGATAAGCAACTTCAGCAAAGTCTCAGGATACAAAATCAATGTACAAAAATCACAAGCATTCTTATACACCAATAACAGACAAACAGAGAGCCAAATCATGAGTGAACTCCCATTCACAATTGCTTCAAAGAGAATAAAATACCTAGGAATCCAACTTACAAGGGACATGAAGGACCTCTTCAAGGAGAACTACAAACCACTGCTCAATGAAATAAAAGAGGATACAAACAAATGGAAGAGTATTCCATGCTCATGAGTAGGAAGAATCAATATCGTGAAAATGGCCATACTGCCCAAGGTAATTTATAGATTCAATGCCATCCCCATCAAGCTACCAATGACTTTCTTCACAGAATTGGAAAATACTACTTTAAAGTTCATATGGAACCAAAAAAGAGCCCGCATCACCAAGTCAATCCTAAGCCAAAAGAACAAAGCTGGAGGCATCACGCTACCTGACTTCAAACTATACTACAAGGCCACAGTAACCAAAACAGCATGGTACTGGTACCAAAACAGAGATATAGATCAATGGAACAGAACAGAGCCCTCAGAAATAACACCGCATATCTACAGCTATCTGATCTTTGACGAACCTGAGAAAAACAAGCAATGGGGAAAGGATTCCCTATTTAATAAATGGTGCTGGGAAAACTGGCTAGCCATATGCAGAAAGCTGAAACTGGATCCCTTCCTCACACCTTATACAAAAATTAATTCAAGATTGATTAAAGACTTAAACGTTAGACCTAAAACCATAAAAACCCTGGAAGAAAACCTAGGCATTACCATTCAGGACATAGGCATGGGCAAGGACTTCATGTCTAAAACACCAAAAGCAATGACAACAAAAGCCAAAATTGACAAATGGGATCTAATTAAACTAAAGAGCGTCTGCACAGCAAAAGAAACTACCATCAGAGTGAACAGGCAACCTACAGAATGGGAGAAAATTTTTGCAACCTACTCATCTGACAAAGGGCTGATATTCAGAATCTACAATGAACTCAGACAAATTTACAAGAAAAAAACAAACAACCCCATCAAAAAGTGGGTGAAGGACATGAACAGACACTTCTCAAAAGAGGACATTTATGCAGCCAAAAAGACACATGAAAAAATGCTCACCATCACTGGGCATCAGAGAAATGCAAATCAAAACCACAATGAGATAACATCTCACACCAGTTAGAATGGCAATCATTAAAAAGTCAGGAAACAACAGGTGCTGGAGAGGATGTGGAGAAATGGGAACACTTTTACACTGTTGGTGGGACTGTAAACTAGTTCAACCATTGTGGAAGTCAGTGTGGTGATTCCTCAGGGATCTAGAACTAGAAATACCATTTGACCCAGCCATCCCATTACTGGGTGTATACCCAAAGGACTATAAATCATGCTGCTATAAAGACACATACACACATACGTATGTTTATTGTGGCACTATTCACAATAGCAAAGACTTGGAGCCAACCCAAATGTCCAACAATGATAGACTGGATTAAGAAAATATGGCACATATACACCATGGAATACTATGCAGCCGTAAAAAAGGATGAGTTCATGTCCTTTGTAGGGACATGGATGAAATTGGAAATCATCATTCTCAGTAAACTATCACAAGAACAAAAAACCAAACACTGCATATTCTCACTCAAAGGTGGGAATTGAACAATGAGAACACATGGACACAGGAAGGGGAACATCACACTCTGGGGACTGTTGTGGGGTGGGGGGAGGGGGGAGGGATAGCTTTAGGAAATATACCTAATGCTAAATGACGAGTTAATGGGTGCAGCACACCAGCATGGCACATGTATACATATGTAACTAACCTGCACATTGTACACATGTACCCTAAAACTTAAAGTACAATAATAATAAAATAAAATTTTAAAAAAATGCAGCAACAAACCTAAAGCACTTAAAAAATGCAGAAAAATCCAGTATTTCTCTTAAAGGTATCAAGTATCTCACTAGATTTTTTTAAAAGCCACCACAAAGTAGATATTATACCCAATAATTTCTTTGAACTTGAAAAGATGTTTAAAATTATGTGCCATAAACTTTATTAAATAAGACATTAGAGGATTTTCTATCTTGGTCTTTATGATGGTTTTTACTTTTTCAAATACATATGATTTTTCTAAATGTTGTATTAAAAAATCAGATGTAGTAAACCCAATTATGCTAACTAGGCAGAACTTTGTGGTTTTGGAAAGAAAATGTTAAGTCTGAATAAAAAATTAGCATTTTTTTCTCTCTTCTAATAACAGGAACTTCCATTTTCTCAACAACTGCTCTTCCAAGATGCTGCCTCATTTCAGAGCCATGTTTTACTCATGAGCTGGTCCTGTCCAGAAAACAGCCAATGCTCATTCCCGACACTTTCTTGTCACTGCTCTTTTCTGTGAGTGAATTTTGTGACATTCTCCTTAAAGATCTGAAGTTACAAATTGTTTCTTTGTTTCTGTTTTATGAAATAGAAAAGTGGCCAGTCACATTGGCTCACACCAGTAATACCAGCACTTTGGGAGGCTAAGGCGGGTGAGTCACTTGAGTCCAGGAGTTCAAGGCCAACCTGGGCAATACGGCAAAACCCCATCTCTACAAAAAATACAAAACTTAGCTGGGTGTGGTGGCACGTGCCTGTGCTCCTAGCTACTCGGTAGGCTGAGATGGGAGGACCGCTTGAGCCCGAGAGGTCGAGGCTGCAGTGAGCCAAGATCGCACCACTGCACTCCAGCCAGGGTGACAGAGTAAGACCCTTTCTCGAAAACAAAACAAAACAAAACAAGGCCCAGTATCAGGGAAAATTGACCTGCCGTGATCAGCACTGAGACATATCCTAATATAATTATTAGACTTTAAAAATGTCCTGAGCATCTCCAGGCCAAAAAATAATAATAATAATAAATAATTTATAAGGGCAAGATAACAGACTGCATTTGACCTCTCAAAATCAAAGTAAGAAAACAAACAATGAAGCAGCCTTTTCAAAACACTCAAGAAAAAAAGAGTATGAACGAGATTATATATTCAGCCAAGCTCAAGTATCAAGCTTCAAGTATCAAGACTACAGAAAACATTTCCAAGAGCCTGAGGGCCAGGATAAACTGTGGCCAGCTAACCTATACAGGCATCATTGAGAATTGATTCTACATAAAGTGTATTTTGAATATTTTAACTTATCTAATTTAAATGGTCAGCTTATATTTCCACAAAATAATTAATCAATATAATCTGATAGTACCAGTGTTATGTGGACTATAATTTAGAGAAAGTTTACCTACATCAATGTGTGATATAGACTACATTACAGTTAGCAGTTCTTGCCTCCTGCTAATCCTTCCTACCACATGTAGAATGAAAATTTGGGGTAGCGTAGAAGGAGTATTCATTCATAGCACACTTCAAGCCTACCATGTGTGATACCTTGTGATGGGCACTGGGGATACAAGTATGAATAGGCTAGAAATGATGCTTTTGGCACTATCTTGAAAATAGGTTCAGAATATATTCACTTCTTACTCTTACTCTTGTATCACTCTTGGTCCAAGCTAATCTCATCCGCCTCTACCCTTAGCTTCCTAGTTTGTCAGAGAGTCTTTTTAAATCCAAGTGAGAGCATGCTATTCCTTTGCCCAAAGTCCTCCAATGGTTTCTTATCTCATTCAACATGAAAAATGAAATTCTTAAATTAATCTACAAGGACCACACAGATGATATTTATGTAATGTTAAGATATAAAAATCAGTCCTGTGTATAATTTATGAATTCATATAGGTATAGGACATTATAAAACATGGATCCATATCAACTTTAGGATAGTTGTTATTTCTGAGGAGGAAAGAAATAAGTTTGGGAAGCTTTAATAGTACACATAAAGCTTTACTTCTTAAAGAAAAGTATTTGTGCAAGTGCAGCAAAATGTTTGCTTTTGCTAAATCTGCATAGTGGGTACTAGGGTATTCACTATAATAATTTTATGTTTTGTATATTTAAAATATTATATTTAAAACATTTAAGTAATACATGTATCTAAATATGGGACTATTCTCAATAATTTTTCAAGAAATAAGATAAATGATTTAAATTGACACATTTAGACAATGTTTTTCAGTTTTAGGGATTCCCTCTTCATTAATATCTTGATTTCTCCTTTGAGAATACCTATCACTGGAGGACCAAATCTCTATTGTCTCCTCTTCTTAGCATCATCTTCTTTCTCATTTTGCATTTTTAATTCCTTTTAATCCTTCTTTATTTCACTCAGATCAGACAATATATCTCAGCATATTGTCTTTATAACTTATTGTGTTGTCTTCAATCGACATGTTCTTTCTTCATGATTTTCTTTCATAAATGAAATCATAAAATCTTACAGCCTCTTTTGATAATACTATTCTTTTAAAAATGTTCTCTGGTTATGGTAGTAAATTATTTTGAAAAATATCTTTTACTCTAAATTTTCAGGATGATCTTCCCTTTCTTCTGCTGCTCCATATTTTCAGAATTCCATGTTATTTTCATTTACTCATGCTGAAATGGCAGACTTGTCTCCAATCCTGACATTTACCAATAAGCAGGATAAGTGGTTTCTTCCCTATCTGGCTTCCTGTCTACTTGGACCTTGGTAAAATCACCTTCTCAGATCTTCAGCTGGAAGACAAGTTGGTATTTTATAGTTTCTCTTCTGGCCGGGCACGGTGGCTCACGCCTGTAATCCCAGCACTTTGGGAGGCCGAGGTGGGCGGATCACAAGGTCAAGAGATCAAGACCATCCTGGCCAACATGGTGAAACCCCGTCTCTATTAAAAGTACAAAAATTAGCTGGGCGTAGTGGTGCACGCCTGTAATCCCAGCTACTCGGGAGGCTGAGGCAGGAG
The DNA here is from genome assembly GCF_000001405.40 of Homo sapiens. Classification (NCBI taxonomy): domain Eukaryota; kingdom Metazoa; phylum Chordata; class Mammalia; order Primates; family Hominidae; genus Homo; species Homo sapiens. The sequence continues at coordinate 100,035,767 of NC_000006.12, forward strand.
AATCGCTTGAACCCGGGAGGCAGAGGTTGCAGTAAGCCGAGACTGTGCCACTGCATTCCAGCCTGGTGACAGAGCAAGACTCCATTTCAAAAAAAATAAATAAATAAAATAAAAATAAAAAATAAAAAAAAAATATAGTTTCTCTTCAAATTCCGTCTTCCAACAGGCATCACTTTAGAATAGCTCTGAATTTAGTGGTATTTTCTCCTGAGAGGGACCTTGTACATATCAATATACATTGTTTCCAGAGTCTGTTTCTACCGTGTGTTGTTATGACTCAAAGAAGTAAAATGCTAGATCTCTAATGTGGCGTAAATCATTGTTAGCTCTCTTTACTTCGTATTTCCTGTTGTGTTGGTTTCCAGGTTAGTCTCTGAAGAGAAGTAGAAAAAGAGGCATTAGGGAAGTGGGTTGCTTCCGAAAGTATCCTGTTCTGAAGAATAGCTGCTGAATTTCCTGTTGCAATATCCTCTGAGTCTCTGTGAAGGATTTTGGGAGTAATGAGGGTACAACATTTCCCTTTGTTTGTCTTTAACCTGGTAGATATGTTCCACTTATGGCAGCAAAATATGCATAAGCAACCATGTGGGATTCTGAAGTCAGCTCCATCGATCATGCAGTTAGTAGAAAATCCTCTCATTTCCTGGCAATAAGATGGCTTTGAGTCATGATTTTCTGTTATGACTTGCAATCCTTTTTTGTGTTTTTATGAATCTATTAGTGAGAAATTGGAAGAGACCAAATCTGAAATGGAAAGCTATGTCTTATACTTTTGAGTCATGAAATTGCCGTGAATATTTTAGTTGACTGATCTGAATAGATGAAAAATCTGTGATTTGAAAGTACTCAATGACTTCTTCGGTCACAGAGTCAGAAACAGGAAGAGTACAATATTCAACCCCAACTTATGGGATAATTTGTAAAGGAAATATCTAAAATAAACTTAATTATGAAGGAGAGCTGACAGTCATATAGGTCAGCCAGGACTTTGCTTTCCTCTTCCTAATGTCCTGTTAAACCCTTGTCATATTCATTTTTATTAACACTTTATCAGAGGGCAGAAAGAGGTGATACTTCAATCTGTCAACTTCACTGCTCATTAGCAACTCATGTAAAGGGCAGTAAGGGGGAGGATCAAAGGCTAAATTGAGGTTACAAGTTTTCTGTGGCTGTCACTTACCCTGCTGTGTCATTAGCACATATAATAGAGAGAGAGCTGTATTAAGGTATTAAGAGTTCAATGGAAGCGATGCATGGTGAAAAGCTGAAGAAGTGTTGAGACCCTAGATGTGGTAATTCTATCTGGGAGCCATCGGAGCTACAGGCATGCATAGGAGTTAATATGACACTGTGCAATGTTGCACACAGATAAGCATAATTAATGGCCTTTGTGTGGTTGAAGAAAAAAAGGATATACTAGTAAATTACATTTAAAACCCATACCAAGTGGTGAGGTCCTGAAGAAGGACAGATAGGTCATCTTTAAGGATGTGCTTAATTCACCTGTGAGAACCAATGTGTGCAGATCTGTGCATGGAACATATTTGAAAAAAGTAAAAATATTTACAGTAGAATTAACACTACTTTCAGGTCAGCAGAATGCACTCTTGCTTAATTATCTTTTCTGCTTTTCACTAGTTAATATAAAATATAAATCCTAAAGGTACACTGCATGAAATTTAAATACATGGCTTGATTTTTCCCTCGATACATTAGGCATCTTTCATCAGATAATTTTGAACTTTTCCAAAAAATATCAATATGAGAATAAAATCATGGTGAGCTACAGTGATAAAATTAAATAATTTGAATAAAAGGACTAAGTAAACAATAATGAGCTATATAAATATGAAGAATTTTACTTTTATAATAAATTCTTTTTTAAGTATCACATATTGTTATTTCTTCTTCCTATTCTGCATGTATTTACACATACAGCACAAACATTTTATTTTCTTCTTTTCTTTCTATATCAGAATTTAAAAATAACTTGACATCTGCATTATTTGTAGGCCACTTTCAAGGTGAGATTCCAGTGAATATCAATCGATCAGACAATCTTTAAAAATTTCAGAGCATCTATTTTATTTTAGGACATCTATGTTATTTCAGGCAATGTTGGGAATAAATGCAATCTTGTCTTCCTCCCTAAAGGGTTCATGATAAAGTTGAGGAATCATAAAAACCTACACAAAGATGTGAAAGAGACCATGCAGTATTAAATATAATGCAACAGGATTTCAAGTTAGAGCCAGAATAACTCTTAAAACTTGATAAAGGCTTTGATGGGTGGAAAGGACTTGAAATTTGGCTATGAAAATAGTTTTCCCTTGAACGGTCTGAAGCTTCACTTCATGAAATGATCAGCCATTATAAAGGCAGTTTATACCTACTTCCTTAGATATTTTTTGAGCTGAAAGTGGTCTCAGTGGGGGGCAGCACACAGTGGTTAAGAGCTCAGTTTCTAAATTAAACCTGGAAGACAAGTCATTTCTGCTTTCTTCATCCCGTAAAACCTCCCTACTGCACCTTTGTGCTACACCATCATCTTTTCCTGGAGTTTTCCAATAGATTCCTCACTGACTGATATGGTTTGGCTGTGTTCCCACCCAAATCTCATCTTGAATTACAGCTCCCATAATCCCCATGTGTCTTGGGAGGGACCTGATGGAGATAACTGAATCATGGGGGCAGTTTCCCCCATCCTGGCATCATGACAGTGAGTGAGTTCTCATGAGATCTGATGATTTTATAAGGGGCTTCCCCACCCTTCACTCAGCACTTCTACTTGCTGCTGCCATGTGAAGAAGGATGTGTTTGCTTTCCCTTCGGCCATGATTATAAGTTTCCTGAGACCCCCACCAGCCATGTGGAACTGTTAATCAATTAAACCTCTTTTCTTTATAAGTTACCCAGTCTCAGGTATGTCTTCATTAGCAGCATGAGATGGAACCAACACAGTAAATTGGTACCAGGAGTTGGGTGCTGCTATAAGGATACCCAAAAATGTGGAAGCAACTTTGGAACTGGGTAACAGGCAAAGGATGGAACAGTTTGGAGGGCTCAGAAGAAGATGGAAAAAATTGGGGAAACTTTGGAACTTCCTAGAGACTTGGAGGGCTCAGAAGACAGAAAGATGTGGGAAAGTTTGGAACTCCCTACATACTTGTTGGAAAGCCTTGACCAAAATTCTGATAGTGAAATGGACAATAAAGTCCAGGCTAAGGTGGTCTCAGATGGAGATGAGGAACTTTTTGGGAAATGGAGTAAATGTCACTCTTGCTATGCAAATAGACTGGCGGCATTTTGCCCCTGCTCTAGAGATCTGTGGAACTTTGAACTTGAGAAAGATTATTTATTGTATCAGGCTGAAGAAGTTTCTAAGCAGCAAAGCATTCAAGAGAAAGCAGAACATAAAAGTTTGGAAAATTTGCAGCCTGAGGATGCAATAGAAAAGAAAAACCCATTTTCTGAGGAGAAATTCAAGCCTGCCACAGAAATTTGCATAAGTAACAAGAAGCTGAATGTTAATCACCAAAAGAGTAGGAAAAATGTCTCCAGGGCATGTCCGAGACCTTCAAAGCAGCCTCTCTCAACATGGGCCCCCTGCTATATGCAGCCTCGTGACTTGGTGTTCTGCATCCCAGCTGCTCCAGCTGTGGTTAATAGGGGCCAAAGTACAGCTTAGGCCATTGCTTCAGAGGATGCAAGCTCCAAGCATAGGCAGTTTCCATGTGGTGTTGAGCCTGTGGATGCACAGAAGTCAAGAATTGAGGTTTGGGAACATCTACCTAGATTTAAAAGAGTGTATGAAAAAGTATGGATGTCCAGGCAGAAATTTGCTGCAGAGGTGGGGCCTTCATGGAGGAGTTCTGCTAGGGTAGTAGAGAAGGGAAATATGAAGCATACACAAGTATCAATAGCCTAATTGATTAAGTGGAAGAAAGGATATCAGAGATTGAAGATCAACTTAATGAAATAAACCATGAAGACAAGATCAGAGAAAAAAGAATGAAAAGGAATGAATGGAGCCTTCAAGAAATAAGGGACTATGTGAAAAGACCAAACCTACATTTGATTGGTGTACCTGAAAGTGACAGGGAGAATGGAACCAAGTTGGAAAACACACTTCAGGATATTATCCAGGAGAACTTCCCCAACCTAACAAGGCAGGCCAACATTCAAATTCAGGAAATACAGAGAACACCACAAAGATACTCCTCGAGAAGAGCAACCCAAAGACACATAATTGTCAGATTCACCAAAGTTGAAATGAAGGAAAAAATGTTAAGGGCAGCCAGAGAGAAAGGTCGGGTTTCCACAAAGGGAAGCCCATCAGATTAACAGCAGATCTCTCTGCAGAAACCCGACAAGCCAGAAGACAGTGGGCAGCCAGTATGCAACATTCTTTAAAAAAAGTATTTTCAACCCAGAATTTCATATCCAGTCAAAGTAAGTTTTATAAGTGAAGTAGAAATAAAATCCTTTACAGACAAGCAAATGCTGAGGGATTTTGGCACCACCAGGCCTGCCTTACATGAGCTTCTGAAGGAAGCACTTAACAGGGAAAGGAAAAACTGGTAGCAGCCACTGCAAAAACATACCAAAATGTAAAGGCCATCAACACTATGAGGAAACTGCATCAACTAATGGGAAAAATAACCAGCTAGTATCATAATGACAGGATCAAATTCACACATAACAATATTAACCTTAAATGTAAATGGGCTAAATTCCTCAATTAAATTATTCAACTAAATTAAATTCCTCAAACTAAATTAAATTAAATTCCTCAAACTAAATTAAATTAAATTCCTCAACTAAATTCCTCAATTAAAAGACACAGACTGGCAAATTGGATAAAGAGTCAAGACCCATCAGTGTGCTGTATTCAGGAGCCCCATCTTGTGCACATATAGGCTCAAAATAAAGGGATGGAGGAAGATTTACCAAGCAAATGGAAAGCAAAAAAAAAAAAAAAAAAAAAAAAAAGCAAGGGTTGCAATCCTAGTCTCTGATAAAACAGACTTTAAACCAACAAAAATCGAAAAAGACAAAGAAGGGCATTATATAATGGTAGGGGGATCAATGGATCAATGCAACAAGAAGAGTGAACTATTCTAAATATATATGCACCAATGCAGGAACACCGAGATTCATAAAGCAAGTTCTTAGAGACCTACAAAGAGACTTAGACTCCCACACAGTAATAGCGGGAGACTTTAACACCCCACTGTCAATATTAGACAGATCAATGAGACAGAAAATTAACAAGGATATTCAGGACTTGAACTCAGCTCTGGACCAAGCAGACCTAATAGACATCTACAGAACTCTCACTACTCCAAATCAACAGAATGTACATTCTTTTCAGCATCACATCACACTTATTCTAAATTGACCACATAATTGGAAGTAAAATACTCCTCAGCAAATGCAAAAGAACGGAAATCATAACAGTCTCTCAGACCACAGTGCAATCAAATTAGAACTCAGGATTAAGAAACTCACTCAAAACCATACAATTATATGGAAACTGAACAACCTGCTCCTGAATGACTACTGGGTAAATAATGAAATTAAGGCAGAAATAAATAAGTTCATTGAAACCAATGAGAACAAAGACACAATGTGTCAGAATCTCTGGGACACAGCTAAAGCAGTGTTTAGAGGGACATTTATAGCACTAAAGGCCCACATGAGAAAGTGGGAAAGATCTAAAATCGACACCCTAACATCACAATTAAAAGAACTAGAGAAGCGGCCGGGTGTGGTGGCTCACGCCTGTAATCCCAGCACTTTGGGAGGCTGAGGTGGGTGGATCACAAGGTCAAGAGATTGAGACCATTCTGGCCAACATGGTGAAACTCCATCTCTACTAAAAATACAAAAAATTAGCTGGGTGTGGTGGCAGTCACCTGTGGTCCCAGCTACTTGGGAGGCTGAGGTAGGAGAATCACTTGAACCTGGGAGGCAGAGGTTGCAGTGAGCTGGGATTGCACCACTGCACTCCAGCCTGGTGACAGAGTGAGACTCTGTCTCAAAAAAAAAAAAAAAAAAAAAAAAAAGAACTAGAGAAGCAAGAGCAAACAAAGTCAAAAGCTAGCAGAAGACAAGAAATAACTAAGATCAGAGCAGACCTGAAGGAGATAGAAACACGAAAAACCCTTAAAAAATCAATGAATCCAGGAACTGGTTTTTTGAAAACAATAACAAAATAGATTGACTGCTAGCCAGACTACTAAAGAAGAAAAGAGAGAAGAATCAACTAGATTCAATAAAAAATGATAAAGGGGATATCACCACGGATCCCGCAGAGATACAAACTACCATCAGAGAATACTATAAACACCTCTATGTAACTAAACTAGAAAATCTAGAAGAAATGGATAAATTCCTGGACACATACACCCTCCCAAGACTAAACAAGGAAGAAGTCGAATCCCTGAATAGACCAATAAAAAGTTCTAAAGTTCTAAAATTGAGGCAGTAATTAATAGCCTACCAACCAAAAAAAAGCCCAGGACCAGATGGATTCACAGCCAAATTCTATCAGAGGTACAAAGAGTAACTGGTACCATTCCTTCTGAAACTATTCCAAACAATAGAAAAAGAGGGACTCCTCCATAACTCATTTTATGAGGCCAGCATCATCCTGATACCAAAACCTGGCAGAGACACAACAAAAAAGAAAATTTCAGGCCAATATCCCTGATGAACATTGATGTGAAAATCCTCAATAAAATACTGGCAAACTGATACAGCAGCACATTAAAAAGCTTATCCACCACGATCAAGTTGGCTTCATCCCTGGGATGCAAGGCTGGTTCAACATATGCAAATCAACAAATGTAATCCATCACATAAACAAAACCACATGATTATCTTAATAGATCCAGAAAAGGCCTTTGATAAAATTCAACACCGCTTCATGCTAAAAAACACTCAATAAACTAGGTATTGATGAAACATATCTCAAAATAATAAGAGCTATTTATGACAGACCCACAGCCAATATCATACTGAATAGGCAAAAACTGGAAGCATTCCCTTTGAAAACTGGCACAAGGCAAGGATTCCCTCTCTCACCACTCCTATTCAACATAGTGTTGGAAGTTCTGGCCAGGGCAATCAGGCAAGAGAAATAAATAAAGGATGTTCAAATAGGAAGCGAGGAAGTCAAATTGTCTCTGTTTGCAGATGACATGATTGTATATTTAGAAAACCCCATTGTCTCAGCCCAAAACCTCCTTCAGCTGATAAGCAACTTCAGCAAAGTCTCAGGATACAAATCAATGTGCAAAAATCACAGGCATTCCTATACACGAATAATAGACAGAGAGCCAAATCATGAGTGAACTCCCATTAACAATTGCTATAAAGAGAATAAAATACCTAGGAATACAACTTACAAAGGGTATGAAGGACCTCTTCAAGGAGAACTGTAAACCACTACTCAAGGAAATAAGAGAGGACACAAACAAATGGACATTCCATGCTCATGGATAGGAAGAATCAATATTGTGAAAATGGCCATACTGTCCAAAGTAATTTATAGATTCAATGCTATCCCCATCAAGCTACCATTGACTTTCTTCACAGAATTAGAAAAAACTACTTTAAAGTTCATATGGAACCAAAAAAGAGCCTGCATTGCCAAGACAATCCTAAGCAAAAAGAACAAAGCTGGAGGCATCATGCTACCTGACTTCAAACTATACTACAAGGCTACAGTAACCAAAACAGCATCGTACTGGTACCAAAATAGAGATATAGACCAATGGAACAGAACAGAGGCCTCAGAAATTACATTACACACTTACAACCATCTGATCTTTGACAAACCTGATAAAAACAAGCAATGGGGAAAGGATTCCCTATTTAATAAATGGCATTGGGAAAACTGGCTAGCTGTATGCAGAAAACTGAAACTGCATCCCTTTCTTACACCTTATACAAAAATTAACTCGAGATGAATTAAAGACTTAAAAGTAAGACCTAAAACCATAAAAATCCTAGAAGGAAACCTAGGCAGTACCATTCAGGATATAGGCATGGGCAAAGACTTCATGACCAAAATACCAAAAGCAATGGTAACAAAAGCCAAAATTGACAAATGGAATCTAATTAAACTAAAGAGCTTCTGTATAGCAGAAACTATCATCACAGTGAACAGGCAACCCACAGAATGGAAGAAAAATTTTGCAATCTATTTATCTGACAAAGGGCTAATATCCAGAATCTATAAGGAACTTAAACAAATTTACAAGAAAAAAACAAACAACCCCATCAAAAATTGGGCAAAGGATATGAACAGACACTTCTCAAAAGAAGACATTTATGAGGCCTACAAACATATGAAAAAATGCTCATCATCACTGATCTCTAGAGAAATGTAAACCAAAACCACAATGAGATACCATCTCACATCAGTTAGAATGGTGTTCATTAAAAAGCAGGAAACAACAGATGCTAGAGAGGATGTGGAGAAATAGGAATGCTTTTACACTGTTGGTGGGAGTGTAAATTAGTTCAGCCATTGTGGAAGATAGTGTGGTGATTCCTCAAGGATCTAGAACCAGAAATACCATTTGACCTAACAATCCCATTACTGGGATGTACCAAAAGAATTATAAATCATTCTACTATAAAGACACATGCACACGAATGTTTGTTGCAGCACCATTCATAATAGCAAAGACTTGGAACCAACCCAAATGCCCGTCAATGGTAGACTGGATAAAGGAAATGTGGCACATATACATCATGGAATACTATGCAGCAAAAAAAAGAATGAGTTCATGTCCTTTGCAGGGACATGGATGAAGCTGGAAACCATCATTCTCAGCAAACTAACACTGTAACAGAAAACCACACAACGCATGTTCTCACTCAGAAGTGGGAGTTGAACAATGAGAACATATCAGCACAGAAAGGGGAACATCACATATCAGGACCTGTAGGGGGATTGGGGGCAAGGGAAGGGATAGTATTAGGAGAAATATCTAATGTAGATGACGGGTTGATGAGTGCAGCAAACCACCATGGCACATGTATACCTATGTAACAAACCTGAACGTTCTGCACACGTATCCCAGAACTTAAAGTATAATGAATGAATAAATAAATAAAAATAAAGCTTGAAAAAAATACAAATAAACTCGAGTTGGACAGACACTTTGTGAGCTTATGCTCTGGCAGGTTACACTTAACACCTCTGAGAAGACCCAGAGCTCAGACTTTGACAGGACCACACCCGGTTAGCCTCTGAGCTAACCTCCAAAGCATCGCCTTCTAGTACTGGCATTGCCCTCTAGCATACAGGAATCTTATGTGTCCGTGGAGAAATGCTCATATAAAGGTACACCTCAAACTTTAATTTCCACAGACTTTTCTTTCCACAGAAGCCTGCATCCATCCTAATAAAGCAACTAGACTTTAATATTTTGGAACTCACTCACAATGTGGTTAATGTATTTGGTCTATCAAGTATGTTCTCTGTGAAATTTGTTTACATAATTCACCCCCTCTTTAAGCATTGTGAAGCAAAAGAAAAGAAATATCTTTATATGGCAACAAACTATGTGATCTGTGAAATCATGCTTTAATTATCTCTTTATTTTAACCATACAAAACAGGAGGGGAAGTGTTTTGTATGCATTTAGTAACAAGAGAATAAAAGTTAGGTGGAACTGAATCAAAGATGAAAAGAATCAGAGATTATTTTCTTAGAGGGAAGATTTGAAGACACAGGATAGACTGAGGAATGAAATGAAGTAAGTAAATTCATGACTTAAAAATTTCCTGGGGTGTGATGATGGCTCATCAATGATTCAACAATAGGATTTGTTCCTACATACGGGACAGGACATAAAATAAAACTTAATTATACTTTGTCCTTAGAACAATGTCTTGTACACAGTAAGCTCAATAAATATATGTTGATTAAATATGAATGCGTGGAGGAGATAAGATTCTATCTAAAGACATGAAAAGTATGACTATAAACTAAAGCAGTGTGATTTCAAGTAATAAAGGTACATGTTAAAGCTAAGATAAAATTCAATGAAAACAAGTAACTTATGAAAACATTATGAAAAATGATATATAAAAATATAAATTCAAATTAAGACATTCTTCCAAAAATTTTATTATATTGTATTTGATGTCCTTAAAACATGAATGAATTAGATCTAAATTAACTAAGTGCTTATGGTCTGTATGTTTGCATTTCCTTCATGTTTATGATTCTCTATTAGCACATTGCAGATTTCTGGAGGACAAGGATCATTACTTTTGTTGAATTTTTATTTATTTATTTGTTATAACATATGATATTCATACACTAATATTTCACAAACTGATATACGTAGCACAAAATATGTGAATTTAATTGTGCCTATTTTAATTTATTATTGCTAACAAAAATGCTGATAATTGCCTACTATATAAAAGATAAACACAGTTTTGTGGCCACCACACTTCTTTCCTGATTTAATTCTATTTCCGTAGGTACCTTCTAAACCTATTTTGAGCTTTATGCATCATTAATTCAAAAAGGTGATATTAAAACTCTGTTCACAGGTGGCATAGACCTTTGAGATGTCAATCATTATGAGTATGATTGGAGAAAGAAGTGGTTCATAGAGAACTAAAACCAGGCTTGAAATACAATTATTTAGAGTCTTTAAACCAGGGCAACTCTATGCTCATTTCACGTGACATGTGTTAAGCATATAGATTTATATTGAGATTTTAGAATATGACAGTGACAACAGAGCTCTTGCAAGTTTCGATAGATCTCCGAAGAGCCTAGGTTTTAAAATAATATTTATTAGCTGTAGTAAACGCCTTTATGTATGATTTTGAAAATTGATTATCCAATGTTATATTTTAAAGAACTTGTTTTTAAAAATATGTCAATCATTCACTTGGAATCTACATATAACATGACAAAGCTAAGAACTTTGTTGAATCATGTCCCTGCCCCAATTAGCCCCACACTCTCCTCTCAATTCTCTTCAGTATAATGAATGTCTGTGCTATGTTTAACCATCTTTCAAGAATCACCTCTTAGAGAGTCTCCGAGAAATTCCATTTGAATGTTTAGCTATTGCCATTGTCAAGTAATGCTTCAGTAAGATAACTTTCCATTGTGTATACAAACACATGCACAAATTCCCAAAACAAAATCTAAAGGGATATGTTTTTGTTAAATGACCACCTTGCATCATTCTTTAATAGCTGGAGATCTTAGTAAAGCTCAGGAGCTATCTGGGTTTGAGAGGGCACATAAAATACCCAGTTAATCTTAGACTTTAGATTGTCACAGGAAGTTCATCTTCACTGGGAAGTAAAATAGCTGGTCCCACTCTGCATGCATTCATTCCTTCTAATGTACATTTCCCCCATTTTTCTTTATAACATAACCTTGAAAACTGTGGCCAGCTAAAAGACTATGGTTGACTCTTGAACAACACAGGTTTCAATTGCACTTACACACAGATGGAAAATACAGAATTGGCAGAATGCAAAACCTGAGTACAGGGAGGGCTGACTTTCTGCGTTCATGGATTCTGCAGGGCAAATGTGGGTTTAGAGTATATGTGGATTTTGGTATTGGGGGTGGGGGAGTCTTGGAGCCAATCCCACGTATACCATATACCTACGACAACTGTATTTCCCAAACTCTCTTTCAGCATTATTTGGCCATATGATTAAACTCCAGGCAATGAGATGTAAGTAGAAGCACGTGAGACTTCTGGGAAAGATCTTTGAAAGCATAGGTACTGGCCTGGAATGTAGACATAGAAGCTGAAGCTCTAGCAACTATCTTGTTTTGGAAGTGACCTTGAATATGGAAACCACGCACAGGAGACGGTGGAGCCTGGGCCCCTAATATTTATGCTTCACCATCTCCTGTGCATCTCCTGTGCTGCCAAACTAGGCCTGGACTTTCTATCTCTGGATTTCATTTAGATTACAGTAAAATGAACTTCCCTATTATTTAAGCTACTGTTATTTTTTCTTTCTGTTACATGCAGCTGAATATAATTTTAACTGATATGTCACATAAAAGCTATGAATGCTAATCCAAAAAGTGGACTAATCCAAAACTTTCTCCCCTAACAACTTGCCCATATGCCTAAAATTCTCAACATTAAAATTAAGTTATTTTGCAACAGGCCCCGGTGTGTGGTGTTCCCCTTCCTGTGTCCATGTGTTCTCATTGTTCAATTCCCACCTATGAGTGAGAACATGCGGTGTTTGGTTTCTTGTCCTTGCGATAGTTTGCTGAGAATGATAGTTTCCAGCTTCATCCATGTCCCTACAAAGGACATGAACTCATCATTTTTTATGGCTGCATAGTATTCCATGGTGTACATGGGCCACATTTTCTTAATCCAGTCTATCATTGTTGGACATTTGGCTTGGTTCCAAGCCTTTGCTATTGTGAATAGTGCTGCAATAAACATGCGTGTGCATGTGTCTTTATAGCAGCATGATTTATAATCCTTTGGGTATATACCCAGTAATGGAATTACTGGGTCAAATGGTATTTCTAGTTCTAGATCCCTGAGGAATCGCCACACTGACTTCCACAATGGTTGAACTAGTTTACAGTCCCACCAACAGTGTAAAAGTGTTCCTGTTGTGCGGTGGGGGGAGGGTGGAGAGATAGCATTAGGAGATATACCTAATGTTAAATGACGAGTTAATGGGTGCAGCACACCAACATGGCACATGTATACATATGTAACTAACTTGCACGTTGTGCACATGTACCCTAAAACTTAAAGTACAATAAAAAAATAAAATAAAAATAAAATTAAGTTATTTTGGCATTAAGGCATTATTTCTAAATGCTTCTATTAAGATATATATGCTCCATAAGGGTGAACTAAGTAAGTTTGCTTAATAAGGGTCTAAGAGTAGAGCTTTGAGAGTGGTAGAGATGGTGCAGGCATAATAATGTTGCCATGGGCAACTGGAGCTGTGTCTAGGGCAAAAAAGGAAAAGGACTGGGCATTGCAGATATGTTCACTTACTTTACACTATTGCCAATAAGGAAACATGACCTCATGGAAAATATTTTCCTTAAAGTTAAGTTTTGCCTTAGAAATGATGTGATGCTAAATCATCTTCAAAATCTATTATTACATTAAAGAACTTTAAAAACAGCTCAATGTCTTAATATTTAACTAATTCAATAAATATATTTAAACTCTTAATATTTATTGCTCTTTTAAAAATCTAAGTTCAGGCCGGGCGCGGTGGCTCACGTCTGTAATTCCAGCACTTTGGGAGGCCGAGGTGGGCGGATCACGAGGTCAGGAGATCGAGACCATCCTGGCTCACACGGTGATACCCCGCCTCTACTAAAAATACAAAAAATTAGCCGGGCGCAGTGGTGGGCGCCTGCAGTCCCAGCTACTGGAGAGGCTGAGGCAGGAGAATGGCGTGAACCCGGGAGGCGGAGCTTGCAGTGAGCCGAGATCGCTCCACTCTACTCCAGCCTGGGCGACAGAGCGAGACTCCCTCTGAAAAAAAAAAAAAAAAAAAGTTCAAATTACTAATAATTTTATTCTCCTCATGCCATTGATATCTTATATGACCTGAAACATCCTTATGCTCTTGTAACTAGGTTTCTCTAGTGTATTTGAAAACCGTGTTCTAAGGCTTGGTTGTGTCCATTTTTTTTACTCAAAAGTCAAAAATGAGACTTTATTAGGGTGACACTACCTATGGATGGATGGAGGGAAGAGGGTATACTCTGAAGCTAAACTGCCTGGATTTGAAACTTGACTCTATCACTTACTAGCTATGTGAGCCTAAGAACGTTGTTTAACCTCACCATGCCTCATTTTTCTCATGTGTAGAAAGGAAATAATAATAACGCCTACCTCATAGGTTTGTAGTGAGAATTAACTAAGTCAATTTTTATAAGGCACGTAGAACTTGGCCTACATGTTTGCTCAATACATTAGATACAATTCAGTTAGTATATGAAAAGAATGTAGGATTGAAACATGGGTTTTAGATTTTTTTTAAATAGAAACCATGCTACTTTATTAAAATACTGAGTTTTATTTCATATGTATATTTTTGTCTCCCCCCCATTTCCATGTCCGACCACCACTACTACTGTGTCCTATCATAACATTCCCTACATACTTAAAACCAACTAAATGGTGGAGTTCCATCTTTAAAAACTAAACAGGCATTTTTTAAATTTTACTTTAAGTTCTGGGATACATGTGCTGAACATGCAGGTTTGTTACATAGGTATACATGTGCCATGGTGGTTTGCTGCACCCATCAACCCGTCATCTAGGTTTTAAGCTCCGCATGCATTAAGTATTTGTCCTAATGCTCTCCCTTCCTTTCCCCCCTACCTCTCGACAGACCCCAGTGTGTGATGTTCCCTTCCCTAAAACAGGCATTTTGGACAACAACACATTCTTGGCAATAGAACCTGAACAACATTTGTCAAACGTGGTAGGAGAAGTTCTCACTCTGCATAATAAAAAAGACAGCCAGATATCAACGGTTACAGAAATGGAATAAGATGGAAAATTTTTAACAAATTGTTTAAACTATTTTCTTAAAGAGACTTCCTCCAGTGCCAGAGATCTTGAATAGCCTCCTGGTCAGTCATCCACAAGCAATTCTTCACATAATTGATGAACTTGGCTTCCACTTTGAGAAGAGAACCACCTTTTTCTATACTTGCATTTTTGCTTTGTTTTCTACAGAACTATGTCCTTTATGTGTTTCAGGAGTTTTTTCCTGTTTTTTGAAGGATTCTTGTCCTTTTGATCTTGGTGTTGATTTTTGTCCTTTTGATCTTGGTGTTGACTCAAAAGGCTTTGAGTCTTTTCCATTCTAGTTTGACTTTTGTGCATTTTTGGCTGGAGTATCTCCTATAGATTTCTTCACTGCAGCTTTTTCTTCAGTTTTCTCATCATCAAAATCACCATCATCATCATCTTCGGCATTATCATCATCATCTTATTCATCAGCAGCAAGTTTTACTTTTCTCTGTGGAAGCTTGCTACCACCTCCAGGGGCAGATCGCCTTCCAGGTACACTTAAGAGTTTCACATCCTCCTCCTCTTCATCTTCTGACTCTGCATCTTCCTCCACAACTAGTCAGTGCTGTCCAGTAATATGCACTGATCCTGAACAACGCTTCAATTATAAGACCACTGGTAGTGTGATTTCAAAGCCCCCAAGGGAAACTGTTGGCTGTACAGACATTTTCAAAGTTGCCAGTGTTACCTTAGTTGGATTGCCTTCATAATTCATTGTCTCTGCTTCAACAATGTGCAACTTATCCTTCGCACCAGCCCCTAAACTGACCGTTCTTCAAGATAACTGGTGCTCATTTTCATCATTATCCACCTTAAAGTGATCATCTTTGTTGGCCTTCAGTTCACAATTGAAAAAGATAGTTCTGGGGCCTCAGGGTCATGTCTATGTCCATGAAATCTTCCATGGGATGGTGGCATGCACTTAGGTGGGAGAGAAGGCAGACAGAGATAAATGACTACTGCTCCAGAGAATGGCCATGCAGGACGGAATCACACCAAGGGGTTTAGATTCTAATATGGGTTCTGCTACCTCCTAGTTGTATGATCTTGATTTATTTAAATTGTCTGAGACTCAATTTCCTTACTTGTAAATGAGGATGATAAAGCCAAACTTATGGGGTTATTATAATGAGTAAATAGGATGGCCAGGTAAAATACAGAATATGTGGTTAAATATGATTGTTCAGATAAGGAATGAATAATTTTTCAGTATGAGTATGTCCTTTGTAATATTTGGGATATACTAATACTAAAATATTTCACTGTAATCAAAATTTAACTGTCCATCCTGTCTTTATCCTCTGTAAATCTGGCAACCCTGTTAGTAAATGAGTTAGTTGGCAGTCTCTTCATTTTTCATAAGAGGACATCAATCTTATATATGTATAATATATGTATAATATATATAGAATTCATGTCGAAATAACCCTTCTGTGATTTTCTGTATGCAAAGAAAGCATTTACTGTAGTTGCCTATATTACTTCCCAAATTCCCCAATATTTTCTTTTTAAATAGAGGTGAGTACTATACCATCACCTGGATTAAGCTTAGCAATATCCTTTGTGGCTTTCATTGTCTTATTTTTCTATTACAAAATAATTGTGACTCTATGAATTGCATAGTTACCAGGGAAACTCATTTGAATCGAGTTCTCTTAGTGGATAATTATACCTCTAGCAATAACTTGGTGCTAAAAACAAAAATGACATTTTAAGCATGGCTATATCTGTATTTTGAAGGGGCAATTTGCCCTGTACCCTACAACTAGAGAAGGTAGAAGAAAAAACATGAGAAGACTTTGACAAGTGAATCTGAGCAGCCTTTACCTTCCAGCAACCTCAGCTAATGACAGGCAATGAGCTATTCTTAAATTTAACTTCTTCTATTGCTGGATAAAGACAATTTGTTCTTCCTAGAACAACCATCTTTTTTTTTCCTTCTAAGCTGCTATTCCGAAATGAAAATGTAAAAGTGAGGATGAGAAAAGTATACGGTAAAAATATTTTTTCTTGATTTCTTTCTCAAAAGTTTTAGAAGTTAAAGAGCTTGTGAGAAGAAAAAAATATATAGGCTGAATTTTTAAGCATGAATAAATATGTTTTTCTTGTAGAAATTTTTGAGGCATTTATCGATGAATAAAAACAGAAATATTAAGATTTAATCACTTGTATTTATTTGCCAACTTGAAATTGGACAAATGTACTAAAAATAATGTGTCAACATTTTGTCTTTTGCTTAATCATCTGAAAACATTGCTTAGTGATTAGTGGCTTAGGAAATCTCCTGGTGAAAACAGTAGAGCACTTTTAAAGAAATGTTCATCATCGTTGCTTTTGGTGCACAGAGGATGGTATTTGGGGGATAATAAGCATGTCTCTGACTCTGGGGAGAAAGGTGATTCAGAACTGCCCTTCGACCCAGGCTAGAGGGGCCCTACTGTGGGTCCTGCCTTTGAGAGGATTGCGTATTTTGCACACATTGAAACGCAAATGTGTCTTATTTTTTTTTTATATTTTGTAGGTAAGTCTTTGGAAAGTTTGGCAACTGAACTTTCCAGAATTATGGCTGGTGCCCACACACTTTCTAGAGGAAGTGGGGCTGAGGGTGGAGGGAAAGGGTTCTAGATTCTACTCTGGGAACCCAGAGAAAGAGTGGCGCTTTGGTTTAAGTTGGTGCCTCCACACCACACAGTGTGGGTGTCTAGGCAGGGCAGGGTCCCAGGAAAACAGTGTGTCTTCCTCTCCTCTAGCTGGGTGGTACGGTTTTGGGAGGTGCTGAGAACATCTTGAAAATCCTGAAGAAAAGTGAGGCTGGGGAAGGGGAATGTGTTTTTCCTGTCTCCTGGGGAGCTTGACATGGTTGGGACAGGTCTACTCACCACCCAGGAGTCTAGCCCCAGCTTCCACTCTGCCCGGGCCTAGCTAGTCTCTGATTGATAGGAGGCAAACCTGGTGTGGGACAAGGGGGCTCCTTTAGCCTCTGGGTAGGGTAATTCCTGGAGAACATAGGTGAGAACAAGGTCTGGGCTGTGGTATAGTTTTGAATTATAACTTCCAACTATTTAGAAATATAGCACGTTGGCCTCCACTTGTATTTTTTTCCCGGGCTCTCCCAATGTTAGTGGTGGGTCTGTACAGAAGAATTGAACTCTGAATATGAAAAAATTTTAGGAGTACCTAAATGGAATGTTTTTGCTTATTTTTGTATGTATGCCCTAGAGTAATAACTTGTTGTAAAAGTCTACTTTTGAAGAAGTAACCAAGGGGTCTTATTGTCAGTCTTAATCTAAGTTTCAAAAAAAGTATATGTCAGTTTATTTTAAAAATTATTTTACTTATTAATATTATTTTTGATTGACAAATCATAATCATATACGTTTATGGTATACAGTGTAATGTTTCCGTATATGTATACAATGTGGAATGACTAAATCAAGCTAACATATCTATCACCTCTCTTAGCTATCTTTTATTTATTTATTTTTTTTGAGACAAGGTCTGCCTCTGTCACTCAGGCTGGACTGCAGTGGCGCTATCTTGGCTCACTACAACCTTCACCTCCTGGGCTTAAGTGATTCTCCCACCTCAGCCTCCCCGGTAGCTGGGATTACAGACGCATGACACCATGCCTGGCTAATTTTTGTATTTTTTGTAGAGACAGGGTTTTACCATGTTGCTCATGATGGTCTCCAACTCCTGAGCTCAAGTGATCCACCTGCATTGGCCTCCCAAAGTACTGAGATTACAGGTGTGAGCCACCATGCCCAGCTTTACCTATCATTTTTTATGAGACATTTTACATTTACTCTCTTAGTTATTTTGAAATATACATTATTATTAACCATAATCATTCTGCTATGCAATAGGTCTCAAAATCTATTACTATTGTCTACTATTGTCTATCTAAATCTTCATACCCTTTGACCAGCAATTCTTCTTTCCCTCCCTCCCCAACCCTCTAGTAGCCTATGGTAAGCATCTTTCTACTCTCCACTTTTGTAAGTTCAATTTTTTCAGTTTCCACATATAACAGATTAGCTGTTCCACATATAACAAGCGATCTGAAGCAGGTGGATCGCTCAAGCTCAGGAGTTGGAGACCATCCTGGGCAACATAGTGAAACCCTGTCTTGACAAAAAATACAAAAATTAGCCAGACATGGTGGCATGCACCTGTAATCCCAGCTACTGGGGAGGCTGAGCTGTTATATGTGGAAACTAAAAAAAAAAAATGAACTTACAGAAGTAGGGAGTAGAATGTGGCATCTGTCTTTTTGTGCTTAGCTTATTTCAGTTAGCAAATGTTCATCAATTCCACATGTTGTCACAAATGACAGGATTTTCCCCCTTTCTAAGGCCGAATAGTATTCCATTGTGCATATACCCTACCACATTTTCTTTATCCATTCATCCGTTAAAGGGACTCTTAGGTTGGTTAGTCATAGCTTGACTATTGTGAATGATGTTACAGTGAACATGAAAGTGCAGATATCTCTTTGACATATTGATTTCAGTTCCTTTGGATATATATACCCAGACGTGGGATTAGTGGATTATATGGGAGTTCTATTTTTAGTTTTTTTGAGAAACCTCCATATGATTTTCCATAACAGTTACACTATTATGTAACTGTACACAATTTCCACCAACAATGTAAAGAGTTCCCTTATCCCTGCATCTTTGTTATCTTTCATCTTTTTGATAAAAGGTTTTCTAGCAGATGTCAAGTGATATCTCATAGTGGTATTAATTTTCCTTTCCCTGATGATTAGTGATGCTGAGCATTTTTTGATATACCTGTTGGCCATTTATGTGTCTACTTTTGAGAAGTATCTATTCAGATCCTTTAACCCCCACCTTTTTTTGAGACAGGGTCTCACTCTGGAGTGCAGTGACACACATAGCTCACTGCAGCCCTGACCTCTGATATGGTTTGGCTCTGCATCCTCACCCAAATCTCATCTCAAATTGTAATCCCCCCATGTCAAGAGAGGGACCTGAAGGGAAGGTGATTGGATCATGGGGGCAGTTTCTCCCATGCTGTTCTTGAATTAGTGAGGGAGTACTCACAAGAGCTGATGGTTGTTTTAAAAGTGTTTGGAAGTTCCTTCTTTGCAGCACTTCTCTCTCTCTCTCCTGCTGCCATGTAAGACATGCCTTGCTTCCCCTTCAACTTTTGCCATGATTGTAAGTTTCCTGAGGCCTCCCCAGCCATGTGGAACTGTGAATCAACTAAACCTCCTTTCTTTATAAATTACACAGTGTCAGTTAGTATCTTTATGGCAGTGTGAAAATGTACTAATACACCCAGATTCAACTGATCCTCCCACCTCAGCCTACTGAGTAGCTGGGACTACAGGTGCACACCACCATACCCAGCTAATTGTATTTTTTGAAGAAATGTGGTTTTGCCATTTTACCCATACTGGTCTTGAACTCCTTGGACTCAAGTGCTCTGCCTGCCTTGCCCTCCCAAATACAGACATGAGCCACTGTGCCCAGCCCTTTGCCCATTTTTAAATTGAGTTATTTGTTTTCCTGCTATTGAATTGTTTGAGTTTCTTAAATATTTTAGATATTAACCCCTTATTGTATTATGGCTTGTAAATATTTTCTCCCATTCTATGGATTTATTTTGTTGTTTCCTTTGTTGTGCAAGCACTTTTTTAGTTAGATGTAGTCCGATTTGTCTATTTTTGCTTTTGTTGCCTATGCTTTCAGGGTCATGTCCAAAAACTTGTTGCTCAGACCGATGTCCTTGGAGCATTCTCTCTGTTTTCTTCTAGTAGTTTTACAGTTTCAGGTCTTTAATATTTAAGTTGTTAATACATTTTGGGTTGATTTTTGTATACAGCTTATTTTGTAAATTGGATAAGGATCAACTTTTATTCTTTTATATGTGAATATTTAGTTTTCCCAACACTATTTTTTTAAGAAACTGTTCTTTCTTCATTGTGTGTTCTTGAAATCTATGTCAAAAATAAATTGATTATAAATGTCTGGGTCTATTTCTGGGCTCTCTGTTCTAATCCATTGGCCTATATGTCTGTTTTTATGCTAGTACCATGCTGTTTTAATAACTATAGCTTTGTCGTAAAATTTGAAATCAGAAATTGTGATGCTTCCATCTTTGTTCTTTTTGCTCAAGATTGTTTTGGTTATTAAGGGTCTTTTGTGGTTGAATATAAACTTAGGGACTTTTTTTATTTCTGTGAAAAATGACACTGAATTTTCATATGGATTGCATTGAATTTATAGATTGCTTTGGGTAGTATGGACATTTTTACAATGTTTATCCTTTCAATCCATAAATATTGGATATCTTTCAATTTATTTGTGTTTTCTTCAATTTCTTTCATTAGTGTTTTATAGTTTTCAAAATACAGGTCTTTTATCTCCTTAGTTAAATTTTCACCTAAGTATTTGATTTTTTTGTTGCTATTGTAAATGGAGTTGTTTTCTTAATTTCCTTTCTAGGTAGTTCATTATCAGAATATATAATGCTACTTATTTTTGTATGTTGATTTTGAATCCTGTAACTTTACCAAATTTTTTATAAATTTTAACTTTTTTTGGTAGAATGTGCCGTAATTTAATGGGAGCATTTTATTTTTTAGTGGAATATAAAGTATTTGTGCGCCTTACAATTAATGGCATTTTGAGTTTAATGATATGTGATGGATCACCAGTCTCATGTTTTCTGAGCTAATGCAATGCCATGGGTGGAAGCCATGAGGACTGTGTGGCTGCAAAGTTTCCATAACTGACATTAGGATGTGGACATTGCTGAGGCATCTTTTGGAGGAGAATAGCAGAATAGCCCTTCCTCAGTGTTGTGGGTCAAGAATAAGGTGAGAAAATGACTTGTCAACATACCAGCAGGGTGTGGTTAGTAGGTGAGCCATTCAAGCGTGCCTGGGAGAGTCTGAGCCTTTGTGGAAGCGTTAATATATCAGGAAAAAGTCCCACGCTGAACAGTGTCCACCCTGAAAGAGACTGCCAATTAATTATAAAGTTACCAAATAATAAAGGAGAGCATATATTACCAAATATAAATATATTATTAACAAAATAATTCAAATACTTCTCAATTCGTTTATAATCTATATCCAATAAGTCCTGATACTTGGAAAAGGCAACAAGCAGTCCAACAGGTTTGCATAAAGAGATCCGGGGGCTGGGTTTGCTGCCCTTTGTCCTCCCCACTCCGAGAGAGGATGAGGGAGGTGACAGACCATTTGTCTCTCAAGCCTGACGAGGAGTGCAGGAGTACTTCTGAGCACAGGTTCATCTTGGGCATGAGAAAGTGGCTCCTTACCTGGAAAGCAATTTCCCTCCTTCCCTCCCTCCCTGCCTTCCTCCCTTCCTTCTTTCCTTCCTTCTTTCCTTCTTTTTTTTTGAGACAGAGTCTGGCTCTGTTGCCCAGGCTGGAGAGCAGTGGTGCCTCTCGGCTCACTGCAACTTCCGCCTCTCAGGTTCAAGCGATTGTTGTGCCTCAGCCTTCCGAGTAGCTGGGATTACAGGCACACGCCACCACGCCTGACTAATTTTTGTATTTTTAGTAGAGACAGGGTTTTGCCATGTTGGCCAGGCTGAGGTGGAACTCCTGACCTCAAGTGATCCACCTGCCTCAGCCTTCCAAAGTGGTGGGATTACAGGCGTGAGCCACCATGTCCAGTCCCTGTGGCTTCTTTTTAATTCCAAGTTGTCAGGTCTCGGTACATTATAGCAGTCTACATAAGTTGCAAAAATAAACTTCCTGATTCCAAAGCACACCATGTTTAATGAGTCATCCTGGACACTGAATTTCAAAAGGATTAGAAATTTATTTCTAGGTCTCTTTATGAGAAGAATGAGCAAGAGTCTATGCAACTATTTGAAGAGGAGATTCAGTCTTTAGAGATCTTTTGGTAATAAAATAATCACACACTAACTCAATAACTATTGAGACTTATAATGCTGTGATTGAGGAAAGTAAACATGTTGCTAAATGGTTGAACCTTTCTAGACCTTAAAAAGCGTAAAGTTCTAAACAGATTTACTTCATTTTTATTTCCATTCCTATTTTTAGAAATAAGTGAAACGTTTGAGTAAAGCCAGATTTGAGGGGTCTTTTTCCCTTCTCTGCCACAAAATTTGCTGGATAAATGGCCTCCTTAGTAGATTTATATTTGGGTTGCCAGATAAAATACAGGACATACAAATATTGCATAGGACATACTTATACTAAAAATTATTTGTTGATTATATGTAATTAAAATTAAACTAGGTATCTTTTTTTGGTAAATAGGGCCATCTTAATTTATATGTACTTTGTATGGCTGTTCTTATTTGCTACACAGAAGTTTTTTTTTTAGGAGAAATAGCATTTCTGGATTAGTTGACTGTTACTGTCAATAACTCATAATATTAAAATTTGATAATCTTGTCAGTTTATTAATTTGTAAGATGGATTCTTGGTGCGTTGGGCCCAAATATTCTGTAACTATAGCATGTTAAAAGCAGACCATCCTTTTTTCTGAAGAATCAGAGTTGTTTAGTGAATTATTTTAATGTTATCCTCAACAGTTACCAAATGCCTGGCAAGGTAAGGTTCAGCTGGCTTTCTTTTTTTTTTTTTTTTTTGTAAGTCAGAAGACCTCTCCAAATTTTTTTGTATTATAATTTTGTATTATAAAACTAGCTTTTCTTCCATTTTGGAAGTCAAATCCAGAATGATGGAGATCTGGAATTTTGAATCCTTTATGATTGCTCTTCCTTATTGACCCCAAATCAGATGATTGCTCTACTGTTTGCATAGATGACCTTAGTAATTGGATATACTTTAACATCTTCTGAGAATTACCAGAGACAGTGCTTGAATAAACATCAGATTTTAAAAAAACTGTATAAGCTGAGTGCTATTGGTTTTATTTGGCTCATTTCACATTCATTTTTACATGACGAGTGCCTATGGAGCTGAATATGGATATTAAAATGTGATAGGGAATGTGTGAGTGAATGTGTGTTTGTGTGTGCGTGTGTGCGTGCGCGCACGCACTGAGGAATGCTGTATATTAAGTGAGAAAGAAAGAAAAAAAATCCTGCAGACATCCAATCCTGATTCTTAGAAACAAGAATTGATAGAACCTATGGATCAGTCATGGGTAACCCTAACCATTGTCAAAGTGGGTGCTTAAGTGATGTGTGGTAGAAGGAAGAACAAATAAAGAGACAGGTGGTTTATCTGACATTCTATTTGCCAGAGATTTGCATTAACTGGCATTTGTGGACATATTCCACAGAGCAGCAATTGACGTTTATAATGATGACCCTGAGACATGGTAAGTGCTGTGTGAATTATCACAGAAAAATGAAAACCTGTTAGTGCAAATCAGGTGTTAAGTGCATTTTATTGTGTGTTTTTTTTAAATTAATGTTGACTCTTTATGTAGAGCACATATGTTTTCGCTTTAATCAGGATAATTATACTTTCTGACCAAATCAGATGACACAAAGCGGATTGTAGAAATTTAACACACATTTGCTCATTACCTGCTGTGTAATAAGCTATAGGCAAACATTGATAGACACAATTTTATGTCCTCAAGAAATTCATAATTACGGGAGATAGAGAACCATATGTTTTTTATAAAATGTAAGAGGACCCTAATGTACATACAAATACAATGGAAACCATAGTGTAGAAGTAATTGATAAAAGAGAAGTCAAAGATTTATTACTGAGGAGATAACATTTGAATTGCACGTTGAAGAACGAGTAAAGTTTCTCTAGCTAAATAGAAATGTTACTGTCATTTCCCAGAATAGGGATTTTATGTACTTTGTCCCTTGTTTTCTCCATCATCTCCTCATTTTTGAGATTGACGGTGGATACATTAGATAGTGGAGGATGAAGTTTGATATGAGTTAAGAAATACTACTCTGAATACCCTAGGTCCTGCTTTCAATTGTTATTTGCGTGTCAGAGTGGGCAGTGGAGTAATGTGAAAATCTATCACCTCAAGTTGAGGAGAAAAACCTAGAAATTAAATAAGGGATTCAGGAAAAATCATGATGGCCTATGGGATTATTTGCCTTGTTAAATCATCTGTTTTTATTGTTTTAAAGTACAATTACTTTGGATTTCTCTTGGTATTTCCAAATTATCTATCTTATGGACAGAACTTCTTACAGAGCAGAGCCACCCTCAGCAATAATAAGGGTCACAATGGCTCAGGCTTTATTTCTCCTTAAGTAATCTTCCATACAGCCTGCTTGTTAATAAATAGTTAATTATTTGGGCAGCTGCTAATTATGCTGGAGCCCAACAATGGATATAAGACATTGGCATTTTGCAGCTGCATTTTGCCCTGGGTGGGAGTGTCGATGTGGAGTGCAGGACAGGTAGGGTAGCCTCTTCAGTCAGTCACAAATCAGGACCATCCAGGCCCAATACTAGACTCAGAGTTTGTCATCATTGATTACATAAACCAAAGATCGATCAACTCCCCTTCATGTCTGGCTCTGTAAGTGCAAAGAAACTAACAATGGTCAATTTGTTTATTTTTATCAATTATTCTTTTCATGCAAATGGAATGACGAAAAAGACACTAGACTAGGTACATGTGTCTGGATTCTGGTGCAACCTGTGCTATACACTGACTGTACGACCTAAGGCAACTATCTTAGCCTTTCGGGACTTCATTTTCTCCATAGTATACTGACTAAATGATCCTCACAATTTTTTTCCAGTTCTAGAATGCTAGGAATCTTTCTTGTTAATTTTTAATTTTTGTGGGTACATAGCAGGTGTATACATTTATGGAAGAAATGAAATGTTTTCATACAGGCATGCAATGTATAATAATCACATCATGGAGAATGGGGCATCCATTCCTTCAAGCATTTATCCTTTATGCCATGAATAATCTAATTATACTCTTTTTGTCACTTTAAAATGTACTACTAAGTTATTATTGACTGTAATCACCCTGTTGTGCTATCAAATAGTAGATCTTACTCATTCATTCTATTTTTTGTACCCAGTAAACATCCCTACCTCCTTCCAACACCTCCACCTACCCTTCCAGCGTCTGTTCACCATCCTTCTACTCTCTCTGTTCCATGAGTTCCATGAATTTAATTATTTTGATTTTTAGATCCCACAAATAAAGAAGAACTTGCAATGTTTGTCTTTCTGTGTCTGGCTTATTCTGCTTAACATAATGACCTCCAGTTCCATTCATGCTGTTGCAAATCTCATTTTTTTATGTTTGAATAGTACTCTATTGTGTACATGTACAATATTTTCTTTATCTATTCATCTGTTAATGAACAGTTATGTTGTTTCCAAATCTTGACAATTGTGAGCAATGCTACACCAAACATGGGAGTGCAGATATCTCTTTAATATACTGATTTAATTTCATTTGGGTACATACCCAGCAGTGGGATTGATGGGTCATATGGGAGCTCTATTTTTCGTTTTTTGAGAAAGCTCCGTTTGGAGCTGTTTTCCATGGTGCTTGCACTAACTTACATTCCCGTGAACAGTGCATGAGGGTTCCCTTTTCTTCACATCCTCTCCAGCATTTGCTATTATCTGTCTTTTGGATGAAAGCCATTTGAACTGGGGTAAGACGATATCTCATTGTAGTTTTGACTTAACATTTCTCTAATGATCAATGGCATTGAGCACCTTTTCATATGCCTGTTTGCCATTTGTATGTCTATTCAAATCTTTAGCCCATTTTTTAATCAGGTTATTAGATTTTTTCCAATAGGGTTGTTTGAGCTCCTTATATATTCTGGCTATTAATCTCTTGTCAGAAGGGTAGTTTGCAAATATTTTCTCCCATTCTGTGCGTTGTCTCTTCACTTTGTTGATTGTGTCCTTTGCTGTGCAGAAGCTTTTTAACTCAATGTGATTCCATGTGTCCATTTTTGCTTTGGTTGACTGTGCTTGTGGAGTATTCCTCAGGAAATTTTTGTCCAGACCGATGTCCTGGAGATTGACCTCAATGTTTTCTTGTAGTGTACTAGGATTCTTAAAAGCCACTTTTACAGATATCTATGTACATAAACAAATACGTTTATGCCTTTTCATTTAAAAATAGATTTTAAGTTTATTTTACTAAAATACTGAGTTATCAGTGTGTAAGTCTAAAACATTATTCAATGGAATAATGTGCTTTTTCAAGCACTACATAATTCCAAACAAAATAAATTCGATGGCATAAGGAGAGAGGCACCAAAATCTACCTCTATGCTCCCCTTTCATCCAAGACATAAAAGAAAGCAGCAGCAATCATTTCTTCTGCTAACCCCAGTAAGTAACTAATGCAGAATGCTT
The DNA here is from genome assembly GCF_000001405.40 of Homo sapiens. Classification (NCBI taxonomy): domain Eukaryota; kingdom Metazoa; phylum Chordata; class Mammalia; order Primates; family Hominidae; genus Homo; species Homo sapiens. The sequence goes on from NC_000006.12 coordinate 100,062,693, forward strand.
TGATGTGTTTGACAGACAATTCCCAAATGTGGTTTTTAATCCATAGTCACAGAGCTACCTGGTTCATTCTCTAAAATTTCTCATGTGGAAATTTATTACGTATTCACATGCACTCATGCTGAAAGCCTCCTTTGCTTGCTACTTAATCACATTTCCTAAATGACTGTCCTACAGCCATTAAGTTTATTAATGGAATCCCAAACAAAGGAATTTAGCTTTCATAATAGCACCAAAGAAAACTTGCCAAAATTACTCCTTAGAATTTTTTTAAATGACATGTCAAAATTCCACGCGTATACAAGATTGTTTGCCATAGCGAACAATCTTTAGATTGGAGACAATCTAAAGGCTCATTAAGAGGTTAAAAATATTTGATACATAATTGGTATGTAAATATTACAATCCACTTATGGTACATGTTATGGAGTATCACATAGCTGTTAAGAAGAATGAGAACTTGTCTGTACTCACATGGAAAGAAAAATATTAAGTAGAAAATAAAGCTAGTTGCATAACAGATGTTTGTCAAAGAGTTAGCAGTGTTAACTTCTTGAAGCTATGCATTAGAGGCCTGGGAAGTGGTACAGAGGTTAATTTCACTTTCTACATTATTTCATATTGCTTAAATTTCTCACAATAACCATACATATTTCAAAAATCAAAGCAAAAAGCTCTTCCAGCAACACTTGTAATTACCTCTTAAATATACAAAATTATTTAGACATGCAACTATTAAGAATTCATATAATACTTGTGAAATTGCATCCTCTTTTCAGGAACTGAATAGAAAATGGATAGAAATTATTTTTTTTCCAGAGCCAGACTAGCTTATGTTAAAAGGTTTCAACCCAAATGTGCTCTCTCTTTATCTCACCATTCTTTTTAAAAATCAAGGTCTCTAAAGCAGAATCTTCATGTTGCTTTCTCTTAGTAAATGTTATGGTATTATATCACTATATTCTGGCTTCGAAAAATGAATTATTAGGCCCTTCATTTAATTTTTGCCTTTTTCCTCAAATAACAGAGGGCATCTTTAACATGAGTTAGTCATCCTTACCTATGGTCATGATATTTCCATTTGTCATGCCGTGCCCCTTGCCAACCTCATCTTTCCCATTCTCTATTATCCTAAATGTATACTTCCAACCCCCACCTTTCCCACTTCCACCCTGGAAGATCTTTTAGTTACCCACAACCCAGGTTGGAGGACCTGTTTACTATTTTATGCACCCCCACAATGTTATGATCAGAGTTATTTATGCAAAAATTCCCGTTAAAGCTATAGAATGTGTAGGTTAGAATCAAACACTTGCACCTATTAAACACTCTATGAAGAGTGACCTCTTCCTGAAAGTCTTGTCTGTGCTTTCTATTGTTCACACTTCACTGAATATTAGCTCTACCAGTGAAATCTCATGCAACAAAACTATTCTTTTTCTTAAAAAACTTCTTAATTGTGGATCTTGTGTATAGCAGAATATTTGCATAAAGTTGTTTTGATATTGTAAGTCAATGTTGTTTTTCTTTAAGTATATGTACTAATGTAGAAGGTGTGCAATGCCAGAAAGTACAAGGGGGATTGAACAGGTGTTTTGGAGGTATCAATTTTGCAATGAGTATTAGCTACATCTGGAATTTCATATTCCAAGAGTTGGATTTCACTCGTGTTATGAACTCATGATATTACAGGCCTGAAATTCAGCCCCTGCTTTTTAATAACTGTGCAATATTCAACAACTTACATAACTCTAATTCTTTGTTTTCTCACAAAATGAAGAAAATAATAACCATTTCAGTCATTTGTTGGGACAATTAAGCAGGAGGAATTGTGAAAACATCCAGCACAATGCCTAACATACAAGCACTCAATATGTTCATTCCTTCTTTCTTTTTTCCCTTCCTCAAAAAGAATTGAAAGAAATAGGACCCTTAATCTCTATAAGAGGCATAACGATGGAAAAATTCAACACCACTGGGCCTTCAATGCAAGCTATAAATCACTTACAAAAGTGAAAACACATATTTGGGGTTATTACTCAAATGAACTGTAGATCATGATAAGATTACACCAGCCATACTCTAGTGAAACTTAGGTGTCATGAAGAAAAAAAAAAGATCAATTAAATGATGATTTTTTTATGCCTTTGTGAAATATATAAGGAGATTTTTATCAGAAGCAAACTGAGTTTTTCTGCTTATTTACAAGAAATCAAAGAGAATGAAATGGGATTTATATAGGAAAGATTTTGATGGAAATAACAAAACGAAATGTTAAAGAGGGCAGAGAGCTCCGGATACTTCAGGGTATCAAAGTCTTCTGGTAAACTTTTAGGTTTATGACTCTTTGATTGCATTTTAATCAATACTTAATAGTTATTGGTGTTTGTGATCACAATATTTAAAGGTTATTTGTTAGTATGTTCACATCCAACAATTCTTCTATTAATGTTCCTTGTTCATTAAGAAACTGTGAAATGTAGATGCTGAATGTTTATTATTTGAATTAGGCTTTTTTAAAGACATGGTCTTTCTCTGTCACCCAGGCTGAAGTCCAGTGGCATGATCTCTGCTCACTGCAGCCTTGACCTTCTGGGCTCAAGTAATACTCCTACCTCAGCCTCCCAAGCAGCTGGGACTACCCATATGCACCACCATGCCCAGCTAATTTTTGTATTTTTTTAATAGAGATCAGGTTTCTCCCTATTGCCCAGGGTGATCTCGAACTCCCAAGCTCAAGTAATCTGCTCACTTTGGCCTCCCCAAGTGCTGGGATTACAGACATGAGCCACTGTACCCTGCCTGAATCAGGCATTTTAACATAAGATTAATGAAAGGGAAAATTCTTATCAGCTCCTTCCACACCACAAGTGTTGAAATGATAAGCTCAACATCATACTACACAGTACAATGCACAAATGATGGAGTATAAAGTGGCTTATTCTGATAGAAAGCCACCCTTTGCAAAGTGGCCTTTGTGCTTAATTTTTAAATAGAAATGAAGGCCAGAGGCTTCCTTCTGTCTCACCACTTTTGATTACCCCAGGTAAGCTTCTATTCAACAACTCAAGAATAGGAAACTATAAATGCTATTATTTAAAATCAACATCAAATTGTGAGGAAATAAATACACTCTCAAGACTATTTTCGTTCTGGAATTTTGTACTTAAAAATGTGTTTGCATGTTTTTAACCTTTTGGGCTGAAGTACATCCTTTATATACCGAATTTGCTGAGTACTTTTTTCATGAAAGAATGTTGAATTTTCTCAAATGCTTTTTCTGCATCTAATGAGATGATTATATTATTTTTGTACTTCATTCTTTTAATGTGGTGTATCACATTTATTGATTTGTAAACATTGAACCATCTTTGCCTTCAAGGGATAAATCCCCCGGATTATGGTGAACGACCCTTTTAAAGTGTTGTTGAATTCAGTTTGCTAGTATCCTGTTGAGTATTTTTGCATGTATGTTTATCAAGGATATTGGCTTGTAGCTTTCTTTTCTTGTGATGTTTTTATCTGGCTTTTGTATCAGAGTCACGCTGGCTTCATGAAAAAGTGTGGAGGTATTCCACCATCTTCTGTTTTTGTGGAAAAGATTGTGGAGGATTGGTAGTAGTTCTTTAAATGTTTGATAGAATTCAGCAGTTAATCCATCAGGTCCTGTGCTTTTCTTTAACAGGAAACGGTTTTTTTTTTTTTTTTTTTTTTTACTTATTCACTTGTTATTGCTCTGTTCAGATTTTCTATTTCTTAATTATTTAGTCTAGACAGGTTGTATGTTTCCAGGTATTTATCCAGTTCTCCTAGGTTATGAAATTTGGGGGCATATAATTGTCCATAAAAATCTCTTATAATTCTTCATATTTCTGTAGTGTCAGTTATGTCTCCACTTACATTTCTGACTTTGAGTCTTTTTTTTCTTTTGTTAGTCTAGCTAAAAGGTGTCCATTTTGTTTATCTTTTCACAAACGAACTCTCAATTTGATTGATCTTTTGTATAATTTTTCTGATCCTTATTTTCTCCTTTCTTTTGCTAACATTGGGTGTAGGTAGTTCTTTTTTCTGTTTCCTTGAGGCATAATGTTAAGTTGTTTATTTGAGACCTTTCTTCTTTTTTGACATAGACATTTATTACTATTAACTTTCCTCTTAGAACCACTTTTGTTGCATCTTGTAAGTTTTGGGATGTTGTGTCTTCATTTCTTGTTTATCTTGACATATTTTTAAATTTCCCTTTTAATTTCTTCATTGACCCATTTGTTGTTCAAGAGCATGTTACTTAATTTTCATGTATTTGCTAATCTTCTGAAAATCCTAATATAAAAGATAGTTTTATATTATTGTGGTTGAAAAAGATATTTGATATGATTTTAATATTCTTAAATTTGATAAGACTTGTATTGTAGCCTAACTTATAAATTCTCCTGGAGAAAGATTTGTGTGCTCTTGAGAAGAATGTGTATTATGTTGTTGGATGGAATGTTCCATGAGTGTCTGTTAGGTTCATTTAATCTAAAGTGTTGTCCAAGTCCAGGGTTTCATCATTAGTTTTCTTTCTTAATGATCTATTCAATATTGAAAGTGGTGTATTAAAGTCCCCTGCTTTTATTGTACTGGAATCTATCTCTCCCTTCAGATCCTTTAATGTTTGTCTTACATATCAGGTGCTCCACTGTTGGGCACATGTATGTTTACAATTGTTATGTCCTTTTGATGTTGACTCCTTTATTATTATATAATGACCTTCTTTGTCTTTTTTTTCAATTTTTGACTTAAGTCTATTTTGTCTGATATAAGTGTCACGACTTCTGCTCTTTTAATTTCCATTTGCATGGAATATCTTTTTTCATCCCTTCACTTTGTCTATGTGTGTCCTTAAAAGTGAAGTGAATTCCTTATAGGTAACGTAATTGGATCCTTTTTTACATTTTATCCATTCATTCACATTATGTCTTTTGACTGCAGAATTTAATTCTTTTTTATTTAAGGTAATTATTGATAGCAAAGAACTCACTACTGCCATTTAAAAAATTGTATTCTGGTTGTTTTGTAAATACCTTCTTTCTTTCTTCCTTTCTTTCTGTCTCGTTTTGTGGTTTGATGGTTTTCTGTAGTGGTATGATTTGAATATTTTACATTTTTGTTGTGTGTATCTATGGAATTTTGCTTTATGGTTACCATGAGGCTTACATTGAACATTGTACATTTAGTCTATTTCAATCTGATAACAGCTTAAGTTTAATTATATACAATGCTACACTTTTACACTCTTTTCAAATTTTACATTTTTGATGGTTGAATTTACATCATTTTATAATACATATCTGTTGAAAATTTATTTCAGCTATAGTTTTCATTAATGTATTTTCACCCTTGAAATGGAGATAAAGTTACTTTACGTACCACAATTACACTTTAAGGGCATTCTGAATATTGCTCTGTATCACTTATACCATTGGGTTCCGTGCTTTTGTAAGTTTATTCTATTAATTAGCAGCCTTTCATTTCAGTTTAAGCCTTTTCCCATTTAGAAAAAAAGTGCAGTTCATTGCAAGCACTCATTTAATTTTACATAAACACATTCTTTGAGGCTGAAGCAAATCTGACTGATTTTCAATGTAAAAATAAAATATAAAAACTGTTCTTGGAATTATTTCTAAACAGAACTAATATCAGAATCATCTAAATAATCAGAATCAACTATTATGGAAAAATCAGACTTATCGAATGAATCTTCAGCCAACAGCTGTTTGAGAGTGATGTTAACATCACTTGTAGGAATGCTACATTTTCCAGGATTTGACATTTTCAACTATCTAGAATTATTACATTTTGTAAATGGAAATATCACTACTAAAAACAGAATTCTATAAACAGAATGATGTCTTTTTTTTCCCAAAGTCGATAGACTAGAGCAATGTGAAAATAATAATAAAAGTGAGATATTTTGTGGCAAAGTTATCTCAGGGTAAATGCTACAGCCATAACCACCACTGGACAGTGTTCTTAGGGCAAATGGGAAAAGGGTTAAATAACTCTCTCACAATTCCTGTAAGGCAGGCCTTATGGTGATAATCTCCCTTAGCTTTTGTTTGTCTGGAAATGTTTTTATTTCTCAAATATAAGTTGGCTGGGTAAAGTATTCTTGGTTCGCAGGTTTTTTTTTTCCCCCTTCAACACTTTGAATGTATTATCACACTCTCTCCTAGTTTCTACTGAGACATCCACTGATAGATGTATTGGGACTCCTTTGTATGTGATGTATTTCTTAATTCTTGCTGCTTTCAGGATTTCTTTGTCTTTGATTTTTGGTAGTGTGATTATTATATATCTTGGTGAACTCTTTGGGTTGAATTTCACAGGTGACTTCTTACCTTCGTGTACTTGAATTTTATCTTCTTTCTTCCAATTAGGGATGCTTTATTTTATTATTTCTTTAAATATGCTTTCTGGCCGTCATTCTCTTTCCTTTCCTTCTGGAATGCCAATTTTGTGTGGATTAGGTCTCTTGATAGTATTTCATAATTCCCATAGGTTTTCTTCATTTCCTCTTTGTGTTTCTTTTTTTCCCTCCTCTCTTGGGTAATTTTACATGTTCTACCTTTGAATTCACTGATTCTTTCTTCAGCTTGATTGAGCTGGCTGTTGAAGCTTTCTATTATACTTTTTAGGTTAATCATTGTATTCTTTAACTATAAAATTCCTGTTTATCTTTAATTTTTTTTTGTTTGTCAAACTTCTCATGTTATGCATGTATTCTTATCCAAGTTGTATTTAATTTTTTATTTGAATATTCTTGAAGTTCATTGAACTTTTTAAAAGAAGATTATTCTGAATTTTATTTCTGTCATGTCATAGATCTCCCTTTCTTTGGGGTTTATTGTTGGAGATTTGTTAATTTTTTTTTTTATTATTATACTTTAAGTTTTAGGGTACATGTGCACATTGTGCAGGTTAGTTACATATGTATACATGTGCCATGCTGGTGCGCTGCACCCACTAACTCATCATTTAGCATTAGGTATATATCCCAATGTTATCCCTCCCCCCTCCCCCCACCCCACAACAGTCCCCAGAGTGTGATATTCCCCTTCCTGTGTCCATGTGATCTCATTGTTCAATTCCCACCTATGAGTGAGAATATGCGGTGTTTGGTTTTTTGGTCTTGCGATAATTTACTGAGAATGGTGATTTCCAATTTCATCCATGTCCCTACAAAGGACATGAACTCATCATTTTTTATGGCTGCATAGTATTCCATGGTGTATATGTGCCACATTTTCTTAATCCAGTCTATCATTGTTGGACATTTGGCTTGGTTCCAAGTCTTTGCTATTGTGAATAGTGCCGCAATAAACATAAACATACGTGTGCATGTGTCTTTATAGCAGCATGATTTATAGTCCTTTGGTTATATACCCAGTAATGGGATGGCTGGGTCAAATGGTATTTCTAGTTCTAGATCCCTGAGGAATCGCCACACTGACTTCCACAATGGTTGAACTACTTTACAGTCCCACCAACAGTGTAAAAGTGTTCCTGTTTCTCCACATCCTCTCCAGCACCTGTTGTTTCCTGACTTTTTAATGATGGCCATTCTAACTGGTGTGAGATGGTATCTCATTATGGTTTTGATTTGCATTTCTCTGATGGCCAGTGATGGTGAGCATTTTTTCATGTGTTTTTTGGCTGCATAAATGTCTTCTTTTGAGAAGTGTCTGTTCATGTCCTTCACCCACTTTTTGATGGGGTTGTTTGTTTTTTTCTTGTAAATTTGTTTGAGTTCATTGTAGATTCTGGATATTAGCCCTTTGTCAGATGAGTAGGTTGTGAAAATTTTCACCCATTTTGTAGGTTGCCTGTTCACTCTGATGGTAGTTTCTTTTGCTGTGCAGAAGCTCTTTAGTTTAATTAGATCCCATTTGTCAATTTTGTCTTTTGTTGCCATTGCTTTTGGTGTTTTAGACATGAAGTCCTTGCCATGCCTATGTCCTGAATGGTAATGCCTAGGTTTTCTTCTAGAGTTTTTATGGTTTTAGGTCTAACATGTAAGTCTTTAATCCATCTTGAATTGATTTTTGTATAAGGTGTAAGG